>NC_000001.11:244972000-245123515 GCF_000001405.40 Homo sapiens
GTAATTATGGATATTTATTTTCTTAAAAAAGACTTGGTTAGGTCAGCATGAGAAAAAACGCACTGGAGTATGGTACAAATACAGTATTTCTCGTTTTTTAAAAACTGAGAGCTTTCCTGATTTTTCAGCTTTTGAACAATTTTTTTCCATTTAAAGTAAATTCAGAGAAACAATTTTGTCGATAACTCATAGAAGTAATGACTGTTAAAAGCTGGATGCCATTCATTCAGAATACATATATTCAATGCCATTATGTAGATAAGGCATTCTACTTAGAACTTTGAAAGATACGAAAATGAAAGACATTGTCTTTGCTTCCAAGGAAGGTGAGATGAGTAAGGGAGATGAGAAATTTACAAATGGGAGGAAATAGTTAACTGGGCTGAGTAGTCTGGGTGCCAACCACTGTGCTAGGTGTGTATCCTTGTAGTCCGTGGACAGCAGCCTGGACATCACTGGCTGCCACCGACCTAATAATGAATCAGTCTTCATTTTAACATGTTTGTAGGTGATTTGTATGTACATTAACTTTCGAGAAGGCCGGGCGCGGTGGCTCACGCCTGCAATCCCAGCACTTTGGGAGGCTGAGGCGGGCGGATCACGAGGTCAAGAGATCGAGACCATCCTGGCCAACATGGTGAACCCCGTCTCTACTAAAAATACAAAAATTAGCTGGGCGTGGTGGCACGCCCTGTAGTCCCAGCTACTCAGGAGGCTGAGACAGGAGAATTGCTTGAACCGGGGAGGCGGAGGCTGCAGTGAGCCAAGATCACACCACTGCACTCCAGCCTGGCGACAGAGTAAGACTCCGTCTCAAAAAAAAAAAAAAACAAAAACAAAAAACAAAGTTCGAGAAGCACTCATGTGCTGTATCTCATTTATTGTTAACAGTTTTATGGATTAACTAATTGCAGTTTGTGAAGGGTATTATGAAATAAAGGCATTTTGTTAGAGGATAAACTAAGTAGAGACTCATTTTGGTGGTAAGATCTTTTTATGGAAATAGTCTATTACTATATTTGATTGTCAGCTACTGTATTTTGAATTTTCAGAAATTACGTCTAACCAATTAATCAGAATTGATTAAGTTTTGAGGATTCACTCAACTAAACTCATAAAAGACTGATGTGCAAACCTGAATGATTTATTAATTTAAATAAGGGTATATACATTGACTTGAAGGCTGATTTTGCCAATATACTAATATAATAATTTTGGCAATATACTAATATAATAATATACTGTTTTATGGGTACTAAGCTTCGGGTAGTGTGAATTTGTATTTCAGAAGTCATTTGATGACCGTGGAATCACACAAAAGAAAGGATAATTTTGAAGGATGTGTTCAGTACCCTCTAAGTTCCAAAAGATCTGGGACCATTTCTGATCTGTTAATACTGAGTGTTGTGCAGAGTGCTTGGAACGTGGTAGGTAATCAATAAATATTTGTTGAATTCAGAACATTTGAATTAATCAAAGACAGCTTATGAGATTTTAACCAAAGCATTCCTAGCTATTTTCCCCAAACTTATTCTATACCTAAAAGTACACAAAACTCGTTTTAGGTCTCTTTTCCCCTCTGCTTTACCGGTAAGATACATTCTTCTATTCCATCTGGCTCAACAAAACGTTTTATTTCACAGTGCCACGGTATTCACTAGCATGTCTTTAAAAAACAACTACAAAAAACCTCATTGTAGAAATACACATATGTTTTAAATAGTTCATCCTTAATATTGAGATTTCTAAAAGTTCTAAAGGGGGAATAAGTTTCAGGGTACCTATCCTATCCACTCTTCTTCAATATTTAGAGATTAACTTTGATAGAAGTATTGAGAATATTGATAAGAAAAATTACCTAAATTAGAAGGGGCTATTGTGCTCATAAAATTTTTTTCTAAGATTATGTACGTTGAAGTTGTTATACTTATTTGTAGCATTTTTTGCTTTCATACAGTATAATTTATTTTTTCATAGATTAAAAATTATACAGAATTATATTAGCTAAAAGTTTAACCTTTAGAACCAAATTATTTTTAAAACCACTTTTTTAACTGAAAGAAGAATGTTTGAAACGGGATGAGAAAAAATATTTTTGAAGGTTTATTATTTTTCCAAAGTTTCCTCAGCCAGAACATTTTTTGTTTTGTTCTTTCTTTTCCTTCTGTTTTGTCTGTTTAAATGGAGAGTCAATGCAATTGTTGATTCTTTGGCTCCTTAAATCTTATTGTTTCTGTCTCTTAGAGAATTTTATATAGGACTGGAAGGATCTTCTGTTTGTAATTAGACTCACGTCTAGGAAACAAACTGCTTAGTTATAAAATTTGAACTTTTGGCAGCCAGTGAGCTTTGGAAAGTAAGAACTTTTTAGTAAGCTGCAGATATTAAAAGCTCACTCTAGGATTTACTATTTTTGTTTCTATTAAAATATTCTTTGTTACTTTGCGTGCTTTGATAACATTGCTTGATAAAGTGCCTCTAATTCAATTATCACCTCCTAAATGGAAGAGGTTTTACAAGGTTTGTTGTTTTGTTTCTGATTTCCTTCATTGTGCCACTCTTTTGAAAACCCAACATTTGGAAATATAAAGTAAAAAACAGAAATTTCAGGTGCCTATTACTTTATAAAAAGGGTTCCCTTAAATAACGTCTTTGTTTTTTTTTTCTTCTTTTATTTTGAGACAGGGTCTTGCTCTGCTGCCCAGGCTGGAATGTGGTGGTGCAACCTCTGTTGCCTAAGCTGGAATGTAGTGGTGCCATCACGGCTCACTACAGCCTCGACCTCCTGGGCTCAAGCGATTCCCCCGACCTCAGCCTCCCAAGTAGCTGGGACTACAGGCGCAAGCCACCATGCCCGACTAATTTTTTTAATTTGTAGAGACAGGGTTTCACTGTGTTGGCTACGCTGGTCTCAAACTCTTTATTTTTTTTATTTTTATTTTTTTTTTGAGATGGAGTCTCGCTCTGTCGCCCAGGCTGGAGTGCAGTGGCACGATCTTGGCTCACTGCAAGCTCTGCCTCCCAGGTTCACACCATTCTCCTGCCTCAGCCTCCCGAGTAGCTGGGACTACAGGTGCCTGCCACCACGCCCGGCTAATTTTTTGTATTTTTAGTAGTGATGGGGTTTCACCGTATTAGCCAGGATGGTCTCGATCTCCTGACCTTGTGATCCGCCCACCTCGGCCTCCCAAAGTGCTGGGATTACAGGCGTGAGCCACCACGCCTGGCTCGAACTCTTGAGCTCAAGTGATCTGCCTGCCTTGGCCTCCCAAAGTGCTGAGATTACAGGCATGAGCCACCCTGCCTGGCCTCATAGTAACTGTCGATAGTATAGAGTGTAGCCTGTGGGACAGTACAAAGGTTGAGCTTTGAAGTAAGACTTGAATTTGAATTCCGTCTTCCCCAAGCTCTAATTATCTGATCTTAGCCGAGATGCTAAACATAAGTAGCTTCAAGTTCCTCAGATGTAAAGTGGGGATAATTATACCCCCAATATTTCATAATGTTGTAATGGGGACAATGTTTTCTTATTCATTTTTACATCCCCAGCACCTGCCACAGTGCCTGGCATCAAAGGAATGCTGAGGCCGGCTCACGCCTGTAATCCTAGCACTTTGAGAGGCCCAGGCAGGTGGATCACTTGAGGTCAGGAGTTCAAAACCAGCCTGGCCAACATGGTGAAACCCTGTCTCTACTAAAAATACAAAAAATTAGCTGAGTGTGGTGGCGCGTGCCTGTAATCCCAACTACTCAGGAGGCTGAGGCAGGAGAATCGCTTGAACCCAGGAGGTGGAGGTTGCAGTGAGCTGAGATCACACTACTGCACTCCAGCCTGAGTAACAGGGTGAGACTCTGTCTCAAAATAAATAAATAAATAAATAAAAAATACAATAAAGGAATGCTGAATAAATGGGAAAGAAAGTGTTTGGTACGTATCTAGTGAATTAGTAAGTATTAGTATCTGCTTAACATAAAACATAAGAGTTGGCCAGGCGTGGTGGCTCCTGCTTGTAATTCCAGCACTTTGGGAGGCCGAGGTGGGGAGATCACCTGAGGTCAGGAGTTCGAGACCAGCCTGACCAACATGGTGAAACGCTCTCTCTACGAAAAATACAAAAATTAGTTGGGTGTGGTGGTGGTTGCCTGTTATCCCAGCTACTCTAGAGGTTGAGGCAGGAGAATTGCTTGAACCTGGGGGATGGAGGTTGCAGTGAGCCTAGATCGCAGCATTGCACTCCAGCCCAGGCAACAGAGCAAGACTCCATCTCAAAACAAAAAAACAAATAAAACATAAGAGTTAAGAAAACTTTTAAGTCTTACCAATTGGGATCATGCATAATGCATTCCTGCATATTTCTGGGGTAATTTAATAAGTTTTCTTCCTGTTTTAGACCAATATAAATATCCGGTTAAGACTAAGCAAACAAGAAGACTAGCTTTTTGAAGCCTAATTTGTTTCCTCTTATTCAGAATAAAAAAAAATTTGAAGAAAAACTGGACTGAAATTTGTTTTTGCTCTGATATATAAAATTTACAGAAATGTCTCAAGAATAGTCATAATTTTAAAGATCAAATGGACAGTGAGATACTACCTCACGCCTGTTAGGAAGGCTATTATCACCAGAAGTCCCCCAAATAATAAGTATTGGTGAGGATGTGGAGAAACTGGAACCCTCGTGGACTGTTGGTGGCAATGAGAAATGGTGCAGCTACTATGGAAAGTGGTATGGCGGTTCCTCAGAAAGTTAAAAGTTGAGTTACCATGTGACCCAGCAGTTCCACGTGTGGGTATATATCCACAGTAATTGAAAGCAAGGCCTCGAAGAGATATTTGCACAACCATGTTCATAGCACATTGTTCACAGTAGGTAAAAGGTGGAAGCAAGCCAAGTGTCCATCAGCGGATGAATGAACAAACCAAATGTGGTATATACGTGTAGTGAAATATTATTCAGCCTTCAAAGGAGGAAATTCTGACACATGCTACCGCTTGAATGAACCTGAAAGACATCATGCTAAGTGAAATAAGCCAGTCAAAAAGACAAATACTCTGTGATTCCACTTACATGAGGTACCTAGAGAAGTCAAATTCATGGAGACAGAAAGTAGATTGCTGGTTGCCAGGGGCTGTGGGGAGAGGAGAATGGGAAGTTGTTTAAGGAGTGTAGAGTTCCAGTTCTGCAAGATGAAGGAAGTTCTGGAGATTGGTTGCCCAGCAGTGTGAAGGTACTTAACACTATTGAACTATATGGTTAAAAGTGGTTAATACAGTAAGTTTTACATTATGTGTATTTTACCACATTTTAGTAAATAGAAAATGTTGAGTACATTCAGAATGAAAGAAATGGTACATTGTTTTTCAAAGGCAATTTGGAAATTTGTATTGAAGAATAAATGATGATGGCTAGGCAAGGTGGCTCACATCTGTAAACTCAGCACTTTGGGAGGCTGAGGTAGGAGGATTACTTGAGACCAGGAGTTCGAGACCAGCCTGGGCAACATGCTGAGACCTCATCTTTGCTAAAAATAAAATAAATAATAATAAAGAAGTCGGGGGTTCCCTCTGTTGGCTTTGGAGCCCCCATCCCTCTGTCTCTGTACAGGGAAGCTTCTTCCTTCTCCTTTCTTGCTCCTTCTTGCCTGTTAAACTCTCTATTTCTTAAAACCAAAAAAATAAAAAATAATAATAAAAAGTGATGTCCACATGCTTTGAGCTTTAATATACTTCTGGATATTTATCCTTAGAAATATATTCTGAAAAGAATAAAAAATGCTCTAAGCACAAAAATGATCAACATAAAGTTATCTATAAATTTGAAAATATAGATAACATTTGCATGTCCAACTAATGGGGCATACAAAATAAATGGTTGTATGTCCACTTGTTGGGTTGCAGCCAAATATATAAAAATTATATGTGTAAATGGGTAAGGACACGTGGGGGAGCCCAGGAGATGATGATGATAGCAGGGTGATTAGACTTTTAGGGGCACTTATTTTTAAAATCTCATTTTAATGTCAGTTCTACAAAACTTTAAAAACCCACTTAAATATGCTAATTAAAAATTATTCTTACCCACTTGTGAAAGTGTGTTTACCAGATCCTGTACTTGACAATCCTTTGTAAACCTCTAGTATGGATTTTATAGATATTAAGACTGTAAAAAAGTAATTTTAGTTTTTATTTTTATTTTTTAAGAGATGAGATCTAGGCCGGGCGCAGTGGCTCACGCCTGTAATCTCAGCACTTTGGGAGGCTGAGGCTGGCGGATCGCCTGAGGTTGGAAATTCAAGACCAGCCTGGCCAACACGGGAAAACCCCGTCTCTATTAAAAATACAAAATTAGCTGGGCATGGTGGCGCATGCCTGTTATCCCAGCTACTCGGGAGGCTGAGGTAGGAGAATCACTTGAACCCGGGAGGCGGAGGTTGTGATGAGCTGAGAGCACCATTTTACTCCAGCCTAGGCAACAAGAGCGGAACTCCGTCTCAAAAAAAAAAAAAAAAGAGACGAGGTCTCACTCTGTCACCCTGGCTGGGGTGCAGTGGCTTGATCACAGCTCACTGTAGCCTCTACTTTCTGGGCTCAAGTGATCTTCCCACTTTGGCCTCCCAAGTAGCTGGGACTGCAGGGGCGTGCCACTGTGCCCAACTAACATTTTTATTTTTGGTAGAGATAAGATCTTGCTCTGTTGCCCAGGCTAGTCTCAAACTCCTGGCCTCAGGCAATCCTACCACCTTGGCCTCCCAAAGTGCTGGGATTACAGGCTTGAGCCACCACCTCTGGCCCATAATTTTATTTTTTTAAATGCACTAGTAAAATTGGGAGTTTAAAAACCTGGACTAGAATTTGGACATTGCCTTTTTTTTTATTCTTTTTAAGATTTTGCTTGTTAGTGTCAATTTATCTGACCTTTGGTTTGAAGAATTTCCATCTAAAGAGGAAGATAGGCAGCTAAGGAGACAATGATACAATAATGTGATAAGTGCTATGATAGTTGCACATGTATGATGATTGGGTGCCTGGGGAGAGTCACCTGATTCACACACACCCTCTTTAAATTATAGCCCCTTTTTATTCCCTCTCATAGCTATTTGTTTTTTTCCTCTTTCATACTATATTTTGTAATTGCCTGTAGATGTGTTGTTTGATGTCTGCTTCTCCTAGACTCTTAACTTCCAAAAGGATAGGGGTCATGCTCATGCATATACCCAGAGCATGGCATATAGCTCAGTATTTGCTGAATGTTGAATCAAAGTTGGCTTTCTGAAGGAGATAACCGAAGCTTATCTTTTTTTTTTTTTTTTTTTTTTTTTTTTTTGAGACGTAGTCTTGCTCTTGTCGCCCAGGTTGGAATGCAGTGGCGTGATCTCGGCTCACTGCAACCTCTGCCTCCTGGGTTCAAGCGATTCTTATGTCTCAGCCTCCCAAGTAGCTGGGATTACAGACATGTGCCACCATGCTGGGCTCATTTTTTTATATTTTTAGTAGACGGGGTTTCACCATACTGGCCAGTCTGGTCTCGAACTCCTGACCTCAAATGATCCGCCTGCCTTGGCCTCCCAAAGTACTAGGATTACAGGTGTGAGCCACTGCGCCTGGCCTAATTTTTGTATTTTTAGTAGAGACGGGGTTTCACCATGTTGGCCAGGCTGGTCTGGAACTCCTGACCTCATGTGATCCGCCCACCTTGGCCTCCCAAAGTGTTGGTATTACAGGTGTGAGCCACGACTCCCAGCCCCAGGCTTATCTTGAAGGTGTAATAGCACAGAGAACAAGTAGGGGATGGATATTTCAGGAAGAGAAGAAATAACATACTTGAAATTGTGAAGACTCAATATGGCCGAAATTTAGGATGGGTTAGGAGATGTGGGAATTTTTATTCTTAAAGCATTGGTGAGTGATTAAAAGTTTTTAACAAGGCCGGGTGCAGTGGCTCACGCCTGTAATCCCAGCACTTTGGGAGGCCGAGGCAGGTGGATCACGAGGTCAGGAGATCAAGACCATTCTGGCTAACACGGTGAAACCCCGTCTCTACTAAAAAAAAAAAAAAAAAAAAAAAAAAAAATTAGCTGGGCGTGGTGGCAGGTGCCTGTAGTCCCAGGTACTTGGGAGGCTGAGGCAGGACAATGGCGTGGACCCAGGAGGTGGAGGTTGCAGTGAGCCGAGATCACGCCACTGCACTCCAGCAAGGGCAACACAGCGAGACTCCGTCTCAAAAAAAAAAAAAAAAAAGTTTTTAACAAGATGGGAGGCTGAGGCAGGATAATCACTTGAACCCGGGAGGTGGAGGTTGCAGTGAGCCAGGATTGCACCACTGAACTCCAGCGTGGCTGACAGAATGAGACTCTGTCTAAAAAATAAAAATGAAAAAATAAAAAATAAAGTTTTTTTTAGCAAGAGACAATCATATTTGTTGTCTAGAAAAATCACTTGGGCAAGTGTGCTCAGTGGATTAGATGGACTCCAGGTTTGGGACTCCAGGTTTGTCCCAGTATAGTAGTCCAGAAAGATAAAACCCTGAACCAAAGTAATGGAAGTCAGGAATGAAACAAGGAGATAGGCTAGAGGAAATGGATAGATTTTGTAATAGGACAGATATGAATATTGAGTCAGGTCAGGGACACGGTTTCTGATTGGGTAACAAAGAATAAAGAGGAATAGTAGAGTTATGTAAATAATAGTTCTAGTCTTGCACATGTTGAGTTTGGGTGCCTGTGAGGCATTCAGGTTGAGATATAACATAGGCAGCACTGTGTGCTTGGTACCTAAATATCTGTTGAATGAAAAATGAGAATGATGTGTGTTGGATCGCTTGAATGTATTCCTCTGTAAGTGGTTGTAGTCTTGGGAATGGTTGAGAATGTCCAGAAAAAATGGATACAATTTTGTTGACTGAGGCCGGGCGTGGTGGTTCACGCCTGTAATCCCAGCACCTTGGGAGGCCCAGGCGGGTGGATTACCTGAGGTAGGCAGTTCGAGACCAGCCTGACCAACATGGCAAAACCCCCTCTCTACCCAAAACACAAAAATTAGCCAGGTGTGGTGGCAGGCGTCTGTAATCCCAGCTACTTGAGAGGCTGAGGCAGGAGAATCGCTTGAACCTGGGGAGGCAGAGGTTGCAGTGAGCCGAGATCACGCCATTGCACTCCAGCCTGGATGACAGAGTGAGACTCTCTGTCCCCACCCCACCACCCCACCGCCAAAAAAAAATGTTGACTGAAAGGAGAAGTGACTAGGATCAGAACTCTGGGTAAAAATCAGTAATTGAACAGAGAAAAATAACTTGTGAATAAGATTGAAAGCACAATTGCAAAATCATGGGAAAATGAGCAAATAGTGTCACAAAAGCCAAGTAGGAAGAATTTCATGAAGGAAGCACTTAAAAATGTTGGGAAAAACTCCCCAATGGTTAACATTTATAGAGCACTTACTCTGAAGTAGGCACTGGGCTGAATGTTTTACGTGTATTATGTCCTTTAATCCTTACAATAAATCTATGTGGTAGGTGCCTCTGTTACCCGCTTTCCACAAGTAAGGAAATGGAGGCTTAGATAGGTAAAGCAGCCTTCCAGTTTCAGCTCAAAAGGTAAGCGCTTGGAAGTCATCACTCCGGTTGCTCCTGGAGCCATAAACTGCAAGAAATATTTGTTAATTTTGACAAATTGGTGGAGGCTGCGTGTGGACTGTCATGAGAGTGAGAAACTCCTGGAGGCCTGCAGTCTTAGGCGGTCCCTCACACTTCCTCCGGTTTTACTCCTAGGAACCCCACGGGGTTATTCTGGTGAAGAGCCAAGCAAGGTTGGTTTAACAGGGGAAGGGGAAAGCAACGCTTTTGAAATATGCTAGTGCATTCTTCATAAAAAGGCCAATTTCAGTGGCCGCTAGTCTGGTCTTATCTCAACGGATGGAAAAAGCTGAAAAACACTTGTGAAGGTCACAGCCCATTGACACAGGTCCACTAAAAGACTGAGATTTCATCGTAAGTTGATAGAATTCTCCTCACCCATCCCTCACCACCACATCAACAGGAATACAACTCAGACCAACTGACAGCGGCTTGCAGCTGGAAGACCTACAAGGTGGAGACTCTATTTAAGGACAAGTTCTTAGGGAAGCCTGAAGAGGAATCTGGCACCTACAGCTACAGCAAACATTAAACACAGCCCTACTCCTAGCCAGATTGGGGTAAAGCCTCACACTAGTAGCTGATTACTATCATGTCTGGCTTCCAACAAAAAATGACAAGACATGCTAATAGGCAAGAAAAACAGCCCGAAGAGACAAAGCAAGCATCAGAACCAGACTTAGATATATGATAATGGGTGTTTTGTAATTATCAAGGAATTTAAAGAACTGTGATTAATATGTTAAAGGTTCAGGCCGGGCTTGGTGACGCATGCCTGTAATCCCAGCACTTTGGGAGGCCAAGGAGGGTGGGTCACTTGAGGTTAGGAGTGTGAGACCAGCCTAGCCAACATGGCAAAACCCCATCTCTACAAAAAGACAAAAATTAGCCAGGCGTGGTGGCGTGTGCCTGTAGTCCCAGCTACTTGTGAGGCTGAGGCAGGAGAATCACTCGGACCCTGGAGTCCATAGACTCAATGTGGCTGAGGAAAGAATCATTGAGCTTGAAGGTATGTCACTAGAAACTTTCCAAACTGAATTGCAAAGAGAGAAAAGAATGAAAAAACAACACCCAAGAACCATGGGATAATTTAAAAGGTGTGAAATAACATGTAATTGAATGCCAGAAGGAAAAGAAAGAATAGAGCAGAAGAAATATTTGAAAAAATGGGCTGAGCGGGCCCAGCACTTTGGGAGGCTGAGGCGGGTGGATCACCTGAGGTCAGGAGATCGAGACCAGCCTGGCCAACATGGTGAAACCCTGTCTGTACTAAAAATAAAAATACAAAAAATTAGCCAGGTGTGGTGGTGGGTGCCTGTAATCTTAGCTACTTGGGAGCCTGAGGCAGAAGAATTTCTTGAATCCAGGAGGCAGAGGTTGCAATGAGCTGATATCGCGCCATTGCAAGAGGGTGAGACTCCAATCTCCTAGGGAAAAAAAAAGAAGAAAATCATCTGGAAAGCTTGTTAAAACATAGATTGTTGGGTCTCACCCTCAGTAATCTGGAGTGAGGGGGTCTGGAAATTTGCATTTCTAACAAGTTACCACAGGATGAGCATGCTGTTAAGAAACATTGATCTAAAATTTAAAGTGAATTTTGCCATTTCAGTGTATTTCCTTCTAGGTTTTGTCTAGGCAGATTTGTATTTTGTTTTGTTTTACAAACTTGAGATGATATTGAATATGGTTTTATGTCCAGCTTTTTTCACTTACTATTAGAAACATTTTTTCATGTCACAAGTATTTCTTAAAGACATATAAAGGAGTTGCATTCATTATATTAGGTTGGTGCAAAAGTAATTGTGGTTTTTGCTATTAAAAGTAATCGGGCCTGGCGTGGTAGCTCACACCTGTAATTCCAGCACTTTGGGAGGCTGAGGTGGGCGGACCACTTGAGGTCAGGAGTTTGAGACCAGCCTGGCCATCATGGTGAAACCCTGTCTCTACTAAAAATACAAAAATTAGCCAGTTGTGGTGGCGCATGCTTGTAATCCCAGCTACTCGGGAGGCCGAGGCAGGAGAATCACTTGTACTCAGGAGGCGGAGGTTGCAGTGAGCCAAGGTCATGCCATTGTACTCCAGCCTGGGCAGTAGAGCAAGACTCTGTCTCAAAAAAAAAAAAAAAAAAAAGTAACCGGAAATACCGCAATTACTTTTGCACCAACTTAACCTAACATTAATACTTATGGTCACTATGATTTACTTAAGGTTTGTCTAACTGTTAGATATTTAAATTGTTTAAAAATGTTCTGTTGTAAATGTTCTTATACAAGGATTTTTTTTTTGACCCAGCTTTGATCCTCATCCTCTACCCACTTTGGAAAAATTTCTTTTTTTTCTGGAGAGACAGGGTTTCTCTCTGTCATCCAGGCTGGAGTGCAGTGGCCCAATCTTAGCTCACTGCAGCCTCAAACTCCTGTGCTCAAGCGGTCCTCCCACCTCAGACTCCTGAGTAGCTGGGACTACAGGTGTATGCCACCGTACCTGGCTAATTTTTTTGGGGGGGGGGAATAATTTTGTTGAATCCCATCTCTGGTGGGTCTTCCTAGTTACAGAGGATAACCCAATTTCCCAATTCTGTGAGTACCTTGTGATCCTTTTGTATTAATTACATTATTTCTCTCCAATTTTAAAGAAATCAATCATAGACCCACATATTGCCATTCAGAGCTTATGATCAGGATAAAATACAGATTTGCTTATTGTCTCTCTATCCTGTTACAGTGGAAATGATAGGAAACTAGATATTTTGTTTCTTTTGTTACTAAATCCCTGGATTTAGAAAATGTGTAGGATATAGTAATCACTGTAAATATTTGTTGCAAGAATGCAGGAACCAGGAGTAGCACATTGATGGCACCTTGCATCTTCTTATTAAGAGTAAATGTATTTTTCTGTGAATCCTTTTAAAATACTGAAAATAGGCTATGTGTGGTGGCTCACACCTGTAATCCCAGCACTTTGGGAAATTGAGGCAGGTGGATCACCTGAGGTCAGGAGTTCGAGACCAGCCTGGCCAACACAGAGAAACCCTGTCTCTACTAAAAGTATAAAAATGAGCCAGGTGTGGTGGCACACGCCTGTAGTCCCAGCTACTCGGGAGGCTGAGGCAGGAGAATCGCTTGAACCTGGGAGGTGGAGGTTGCGGTGAGCCGAGATCATGCCACTACACTCCAGCCTGGGCGACAGAGCAAGACTCTGTCAAAAAACACCCCCCCTTCAAAAAAAAAAAAAAACTCCCTCAATTTCCTGACACATACGTGTTTATCTGTACTTACTGGCTCCTTACAAAAACCTCTTACCTGGTTTACTTGTTTTCATTTATTATGCTGTAAATCTGGTTATTGGTTAATGAATTCTCTACCTAAAATCCTTAATGTCTTCCCATTACCCTTAGGATAGTCTGAATTCTAACAAAACAGACAAGGATGTCTTCTGTCTCCAGGGTTTTTTTTTTTTTTTTTTTTTTCTGATTACATGTGTGGTATCACCATTCACGCATTCTACACTTCATTATACGCTTCATCATAGAGAGCAATTTCTTTGTTGTTCCTGTAATGAAAGTGCTAGCCTGCGCACATATTGTTTCCTTATCCCAGACTTCATTTAGTAAATAGCATTGCTTAGTGGTTAAGAACATGAAGTCTGTAGTTAATCCTTATGGGCTCAAATTCTGGCTTTGCCACTTTAGAGCTGGATAACTTTAGGCAAGGTACTTAGGTGTTCTAATTTCTTCACATGTCAAATGAGGAGCATAGCAGAGCCTGTCCCATGTGGTGGTAAAGGATGTTGTGGAGAACTTCACATGCCGTAAGAGCTCTAGAAATGTTATGAGTCCTTACTTACCGTGTTAGGCCTGGTGCTAGATGTTGGGGAATAAAACAGATTTGGGCCCTGTCCTCTTAGATATTGCTGTAGAGGAGAGAACCATTAAAGAGTTACATAATTATTGGGCCAGGTGTGGTGGCACACACCTGTAATCCCAATACTTTGGGAGGCCAAGGTGGGCAGATCACTCGAGGCCAGGAGTTCAAGACCAGCCTGGCTAATGTGGTGAAACCCCCGTCTCTACTAAAATACAAAAATTAGCCAGGCATGGTGGCACACACCTGTAATCTGAGCTACTTGGGAGGCGGAGGCATGAGAATTGCTTGAACCCGGGAGGCAGAGGTTGCAGTGAGCCGAGATCGTGCCACTGAACTCCAGCCTGGGCAACAGAGGGAGACTCCATCTCAAAAAAAAAAAAAATACATAATTGTTATAAGCAGTTCAAAAAAGTTCAGGGTTCCACAAAAGGGACATCTGATTTAAATTTTTCTTTTTTCTTTCTTTTATTTTTTTTTCAGACAGAGTTTCACTCTTGTTGCCCAGGCTGAAGTACAGTGGCATGATCTCAGCTCACCACAACCTCCACCTCCCAGGTTCAAGTGATTCTTATGCCTCAGCCTCCCGAGTAGCTGGGATTACAGGCGTGTGCCACCATGCCTGGCTAATTTTATATTTTTAGTAGAGACGGGGTTTCTCCATGTTGGTCAGGCTGGTCTTGAACTCCTGACCTCAGGTGACCCGCCCACCTCGGCCTCCCAAAGTGCTGGGATTACAGGCATGAGCCACCATGCCTGGTCTGATTTAAATTTTTCTTACTTCAGTGGCTTTGAATGTGACATTTCCTCTACCAAAAACTACTACTAGTAACAGATGGAACTGCGAATTTACAAGCCTGAAGTAAGAAAGGAGCATAGCTTATTAGAGGAGTTGCACGAGGCTCCATTGTGGCTGGAATGGAGACATGAAGGTGGGAAGAATGGTGTGAAATGAAGTTTGAAAGTAGGCAGAGGCCAGGTCTTTGTGAAGACCAGGTCAGGGAGGCTGACTTCTATACAAGAGCAAGAGGGAGCCATTGGAGCTTTTTAAACAGGGAAATGATACAATTCATTATGTTTTTAAGAGGTCACTTGGCCAGATGTGATGGCACGAGCCTGGAGTCCCAGCTACTTGGGAGGCTGAGGTGGGAGGATTGCTTGAGCCTAGAAGTTCGAGGATGCAGTGAGCTATGATCACACCTGTGAATAGCCACTGCACTCCAGCCTGGGTAACATAGTGAGACCCTGTCTCAAAAAAAAAAAAAAAAAAGATCACTTGCTTGCACTGTGGAAGGGTGGAGCACGGCAAGAGCAGATAATGATGGTGGTGTCTTGGATTAGACAGCAGCGGAGGAAATGGCAGAGAAGGTTTGAGAGTCAAGAGAGTCTAAACGTTTTTGTGACTGGATGTGGGGACTGGAGGAGACAGGGATGAATGAACACCTTTCAGTCCAACTTCTGACTCTTGCTTCTCATCTTTATCTAAGGTCCATCCTCAAGTCTGAGGTGGGTGCCACTCTTGTGCCTCCGTAGGGCTGTCTGTGTATGTCACTAAGTTTTAGCACTGATCTGTTGTGATTTACTATAGCTGGTCTGTTTTCCTTTTAAGTTAGAATGTATTTATAGTAGATGGTAGCTGATCAACAAACATTTCATAAATGAAAGCACAGATTAACATAAAAGTAGATGATGATTGAGTACAGTATTTCTTTCTTTTTTTTTTTTTGAGATGGAGTCTTGCTCTGTCGCTCTGGCTGGAGTGCAATGGCGCGTTCTCAGCTCACTACAACCTCCACCTCCCGGGTTCAAGCAATTCTCATTCCTCCGCCTTCCGAGTAGCTGAGATTACAGGCGTGCATCACCACACCTGGCTAATTTTTTTTTGTATTTTTAGTAGACATGGGGTTTCACCATGTTGGCCAGGCTGGTTTCGAACTCCTGACCTCAAGTGATCCGCCCACCTCAGCCTGCCAAAGTGCTGGGATTACAGGTGTGAGCCACAGCTACGGTATTTCATTTTAAGCCTAGTGTTTTGGTGGTATATTGTCTTTGGATCAAGTTGTTTATGAAAAAAGAATTCTCAAAGAACTATTCCTACCACCTCTCTCCCCTGACCCCCCCAGCCAAAGGCCAAGAATTGGATTCTTGATTTTTTTTTTTTTGACAGCATATGTCTGGAATATGTATTGGTATTAATTGGGTCAAATAGAACAATAACATTATCTGTACTTTCAGTTAATTAACCTTGAGGGCATTTCTTTACCTTCTTTTTTGTATGCTTTAAACAGTTCCCATGGTAAGTATTCCTCTTGGGGCTTATTATTTTATCTTAATTTCTGTAGGTGGGATTTTGAGTATCTAATTAGATATTTAAATATGTAAACAGACATCTCCATGTTAGAAAAAACTCAGCTGCACTATTTGTTTAAAAAACTTCTCTTATATCCTTAGGTGATTTGACTTGTGTTTTGTTATGACTGCTCCTTTGTATTTATTATCATTAATTTGTTCTTTCGAAATTAAGTTTAACTTTTTTTGTTGTTTTTCTCCTATGGTTTAGATTTTAACTTAGTGCAATATGTAGTTTTTTAGTCTTTGCAGCATTTCCATTGATGGAAAACAAATACAGTGTGAAATTGTTGGCTTTCATATACCCAATATGGAATTAAAGTGAAAAGGGAACTATTTAATTTATTATTTTTTTAAATGAGATCGGGTCCCACTATGTTGCCTAGGCTGGCCTTGAACTCTTGGGCTCAAGCGATCCTCCCGCCTTAGCCTCCTGGGTAGCTAGAGAATTATTATATAATGGTATAACTTGCCTCAACTGGGATTTTTATCAATTAAGTGGCATTTTGTTATTATATTGACATACTAATTTAGTTATATTTATTTTATAATAAGCAACACTGCTGTTTATATTTTGTGGCCTATTAGAGTAGGAACAACTAAAAATAAGGTAAATAATATATTTTTAAAGGAGCATGAAATAAAAAATTTTATTTAATATTTAGGAAAGATGATATGCGTATCCAACCCATTGCAAAAATTATAGTAATTGCTAGTTCCAAAATATTGTTAGTGAAATGTCATCAGATTCCTATAAGGCTTATATCTTCATGAAAAGTAATGCTAATAACACTGAGTGTGACATTAGACCTTTGCCTGTTTTCTCTCTTTCCATATATGCTTCCTGTGAATGACTAATAGAAAACTTATTTTCTCTCAACCAAATCTGTGTAACTTACTTTCCTGAGATACTAGGCAACTTCCCTACGTTACAAAAAATTAGTAATGATAATGGGTAACTTTGATTGAATATTCCTATAGTTCAGGTGGTAACCCTCAAAACAACCTTGTCAGCTAGATACTCGATATTGTGCTTTTCACAGATGAGAAAAACTGAATATTTGAGCAGTTATTTATCCTAAAGATTACAGAGCTATGTACGTATGAATATGTAAGAATATGATCTTTAAACCAGGTGGTCTGGTTCTAGAGTCTGTGATCTTAACCATGACACTGTATTGCAACCTAGAAATGGTGGCAAAATTTGTTCAAAGTACAATGTTAATAAAGTAATTTTGATTTATTTAGTTATTATTTATTTATTTTTTGTAGAGACAAGGACCCACTTTGTTGTCCAGGCTGGTCTTGAATTCCTGGGCACAAGCGATTCTCCCACCTTGGCCTCCCGAAGTGTTGGGATTACAGGCATGAGTCACCACACCAGGCCAATAAAGTAATTTTAAAAATTAACTAAAGTCCATACTTTACTCAGATTTTCTTAATTTTTACCTAATGTCCTTTTCTGCTCCGGAGTCCCATCAAGGACACCAGGTTACCATTTAGTTGCTATGGCTCCTTCGGCTCCTCTTGGCTGTGATCGTTTCTCAGGTTTTCCTTGTCTTTAATGACCTCCTTGACAGTTTTCAGAATGGGTCAGAATGCCCCTCTATTAGAATTTGATGTTTGTGTCCTGATTAGACTGGTGGAATGGGATTTTAGGAGGGAGACCACAGAGTTAAAGTACCATTTTCATCACATGACATCAAGGTTATGTACTATTAATATCAATACAATTGATCACTGTTGATGTTAGCCTCGATCGCCTGGCTGAGGTAGTGTTTGTCTGGTTTCTCCACTGTGGTAACTCTGTCTCCCCATTCCGTAGTCTTTGGAAGGAAGTCATATGTGCAGCCCACACTCAAGGAGTATGGAGTTATGCTTCCCTCCTTGAGGGCAGAGAATCTACATGAATTATTTGAAATTCTTCTGAACAGAAGATTTGTATCTTTTCTCCTATATATTTATTTACAGTTTCCTCTATTCATGGTTTGGCTTTCCGTGGTTTTAGTTAACTAAGGTCAACCAAGATCTGAAAATATTAAATGGAAAATTCCAGAAATAAACCATTCATTTTAAATTGCATGCTATTTTGAGTATCATGACGAAATCTCTCTCTGTCCTACCAGGATGTGAATCATCGCTTTGTCCAGTTTATCCACATTGTATATGCTACCTGTCTTTAATCATTGACATCTTCTGCTTCTGACATTTAACCATGAACATTGTCATGGCTCGGGATGACCCGGGATCTCCCAAGGCAGGTGCTCTTCCTTTTGGTGTATCATCAGGTCAACAGTAGCCTGACACTGCATCATGGTGCTCTGTGTCATTCACCTCACTTCATCTCATCACGTGGGCATTTTATCGTCTCACATATGACAAGACGCATGAGTACAGTACAATAAGATATTTTGAGAGAGGCCATTCATATAGCTTCCATTACAGTATGTTGTTATGATTATTCTATTTTATTATTGGTTACTGTTGTTAATTTCTTAATGTGCTTAATTTATCACAGGCATGTATGAATAGGGGAAAACATAGTATATATAGGGCTTGGTGTTATCTGAGGTTTTAGGCACCCACTGCAGGTCTTGGGACTTATCCCTCGTGGATAAGGGGAGACTACTGCACTTGATCATTCATTCCTGTCAGTATGGACACATTGGATGTTTATTTTATACTTTGGGTTATGAGCCAGTACTACTTTATTCATTTTGTTGCTCAAATTGTTTCAGCTTTGGCCATTGGAAGCTCTTTTCGCTGGCTCCTATGTCACTATGACATAGCCCCATCAAGGTGTGGTGTTTTTGGGGGGTTTTATTGAGACAGTGTCTTGCTCTGTTGCCCAGGCTGGAATCTCGATTTACTGCAACCTCCGCCTCCCAGGCTCAAGCAGTCTTCCCACCTCAGCCTTCCTAGCAGCTGGGACTACAGGCATGAGCCACTGCGCCTGGCCTAATGTGGGTGGTGTTTTTTTTTTTGTACTTCTACTACTACTACTACTACTGCTAGGATCTAGTTCTACTCAGTACTTCTGGCACCAAATGTGTGGGTTTTCCACACCAAACAATTCTCCAGTTCCCTGTGGACACCAACTGGGAGTCCTACAATTCAACTCAATTTAATACCAACTACCCAGAGTTACTACAGATCCCACAGGTTAAGGATTTGGTCCCACAAGACCATTCCCTAGGAAAGTAGGCTAACTGCTGATTAAAGGTAGTGGATCCTTAAGTTACTCACACTTCAGTTAGATGTGGCTACAAATTGGGGGTTTCCATAACCCCCTTCTTAGTTCCATAATTTGCTATAAAGGTTCACAGAACTCAAGGAAACACTTTGTTTAACATTTACTGGTTTATCATAAAGGATGCAAATGAAGAAACAGATGGAGTGACATAAAGGGTGCGGTGAGCTCTGCCAGGTACCCCAGCTGAGGAGCTTCTGTTCTGTGGAGTTGGGTGCACTATTCTCCCGGCATGTGGATGTGCTTGCCATTCCAGAGCTCTTGGAACCCCTTTGTTTAGGGTTTTTGTGGGGGTTCCATTATGTAGGCATGGTTGGTTCGATCACTGGCCATTCGAGATTCGCTCAATCCCCAGCCTCTTCCCTCTCTGGAGGTCACAGGGTGGGGTCAGGTTTGGGGAATGAGTCAGAATTTTTGGCAGATAATTTCTATTTTGTATTAGCTTTCTGGATTATTCTGATTCCATTATTGTAACTTGTTTACTATGGTCCAGCTTTATGCCCTTTGTATACATTATGACTTTTAATCCTCGTAACAGCCCTGTGAGGTAGAGAAATAGAGCAGTAGGAGTCAGGGCCTGTTTGGTCAGCATTTTGCTATTACCACCTTTTTAAACTTTTATAGGAGTGGCTCTGAATCTCTAGAAAGTCATGTAAAGATCTTGATATTTATTTAAAATCATAAACAAATATTCACAAGGAAACTTTTTTTCTTGACATTCAGTATGTTTTAAGTAATTTTCATGTGGTTCGAGCCTTGTAAAGGTTTTTCTGGTTTTCATAGTGTAGAAAGTAAAGAAAGCTGTTACAATTGACTGTCTGGACTGATTTATTCAAGAGAAAATCACTTGGTTTATAGAAGGCCTTTAACATTTTGTGAGTATGTGTTTTAAACCAAAACCCATAGATAGGAAGAGCCGACAGGGAGCTGGAAACTGCAATAAGCTTTCTTCTAACTAGCAAACGCAGTTGACAGACATCTTTTTATAGACGTATCTGTGATTGCACGCTGTTTTTAGGCTTGATAATTTTTTCAACAAGGAAAAACTTTTCTTCAATTTGAAAAAGCTGTTTACAGTAAAATGGCAAAGTATGAGAAGACAGAAAGCCATCCTGCTCATTCTAAAGCTAAATTGGGCCACATTTCCCTTAAAGTATAGACAACAGCAGCAGTGGAACACAGTTAAGTGTGTGTTTAGTGAAGGAAAGTTTTTTGAATACTGCCGCCACAATAATTTTTCAAACCTTGAATTCTTTATTGAGAAAGTGACAAATCAGTGAGAGAGGGAAAGGGAAAAGAAAATTAATTGAATTTGCAAAATTTCTTAAACAACTAGGATTACAGAAGTAAAAGAATGAATTTGAAGGCTGGGCGCAGTGGCTCACTCCTATAATCCCAGCATTTTGGGAGGCTCAGGCGGGCAGATTACAGGAGGCCAGGAGTTTGAGACCAGCTTGGCCAACATGCTGAAACCCTGTCTCTACTAAAAATACAAAAAATTAGCTAGGCATGGTGGTACCCATCTGTAATCCCAGCTACTCTGGAGGCTGAGGCTGGAGAATCACTTGAACCTGGGAGGCGAAGGTTGCAGTGAGCCGAGATTGTGCCACTGCACCGCAGCCTGGGCAACAGAGTGAGACTGTGTCTCAAAAAAAGCCCCCAAAAAAACAAAAAACAAAAAGAATGAATTTGACGTAGTGCCTGTGTCAGTTAGCTATTGCTCTGTAACCAATTACTCCCAAATCTAGCAGCTAAAACCCACAAATATTTATTATCTCTCATAATTTCTGGCTGTAGCTTTACTGGGTGATTGTGCCTAAGGGTCTCTCATAGTCTGGGGCTCACTCACATGACTTTTGGCAGGAAGCCTTGGTTCCTTATTGGTTGTTGGCTGGAGGCCTCAGTTTCTTGACACATGAGACTCTCTATAGGCCACTTGACTGTACATGCAACATTGCATCTGGTATCCCATAGAGTGAGTCATTCAAGAGACAGAAAGAGATGACACAGAAGCCACAATATCTTTTATAACATAATCTCAGAAGTAACCAAACATTACTTTTGCTCTATTCTATTGGTGACATAAACTAACCCTATATAATATCAGTGGTGACTGCGCAGTGGTATAAATAGCAAGAGGTGAGGGTCATCGGGAACCATCTCAGAGGCTGGCTACCACAGTCTGCCTTCTGGCCTCCAGTGATTCACGTTTCTCGCACATGTAGAATGCACTCACTCTCTCCAAAGGCCCACTAGAATGGGCCTTCCGTCCCATTACAGCCATTACAGCATCAGCTCAAAGTCCAGAATATCATATCTAAATCAAGCCCAGGTGGTAATGAGGTTCCTTGGCTGTAGCTACTTATGTATGACTTCTTGAGTGGTTTCTCTTGATCTATAGACCTGTGAACTAGAGAGATGTTACTTGCCCCTTACCACTCAACATACAATGGGAAAAGGTAACATCCACAGACACTTCTATCAAAAAAGAGGATGTCTTCGTGTATTTGTGCTGCTGTAACAGGATACCACAGACTAGGTAACTTATGAAGAACATAAATTTATTTCTCACATTTCTGGAGGCTGGAAAGTCCGAGATTGAGGGTCTGCATCTGGTGAGGGCCTTCTTGCTGCATCATAACATGGTAGAAGGCATCATATGGGGATGGGGAAGGAGGCTGAACTCATTCTTGTTAAGGAACCCACTCCTGCTATAACATACGTGCTCCTAAGATAACAGCATTAATCCATTCATGAGGGCAGAGCCCTCGTGGCCTAATCACCTCTTAAGCTTCCACCTCCCAAAACTTGCATGGGGGTTTCAGTTTCCAACACACGAACTTTGGGGATACATTTTTTTTTTGGTATACTTTTTGGTATTCCTCCATAGTAAGGAGGAAATGGGAGGAACACAGGAGTCGTGGTTCATAAAACTGAGCCTGGCAAGTATTGGACATTTATTGATTAGGACTCAGTCTTACTGTCCAGAAGTGATTCTAGGTGGCCTTTAGCTCTGTCCCCTGAGCTCTTGGTTAGACTCTTTGTCATCTTTTCTTTTACGAGAAGTAGTACATGTTTACAGCTAAGCAGTTTTCTAAGCCTGATTCCTGTCAATAGAAGTTTTGGGAGTCCAAAGAACGTTTTTCCTTTTGTAATCTCTTTGTCATTTTTAGTTCAGGCTTAAGGTGTTTCTGCAAATAGCTTCCTTTTAAAATTTTTCATAGGTCTCCCACGAATCTTATTGTCCATTAGACAAAAGCCATATACACAAATTTGTTTGAGATAAGCTGTTCTCTGTCTTTGGCTCCTACTAAGATAGCTAAGAGACATTAAACTTCTTTTTTTATTTTTTTTCTTAGATGGAGTCTTGCTCTGTTACCCAGGCTGGAGTGCAGTGGCACAATCTCGGCTCATTGTAACCTCCGCCTCCTGGGCTCAAGTGAGTCTCCTGCCTCAGCCTCCCAAGTAGCTGGGTCTATAGGTGCATGCCACCATGCCTGGCTAATTTTTGTATTTTTAGTAGTGATGGGGTTTCACCATATTGGCCAGGCTGGTCTCAAACTCCTGACCTCGTGATCTGCCGGCCTCAGCCTCCCAAAGTGCTGGGATTACAGGTGTGAGCCCCTGCGCCTGGGACATTAAACTTCTTTTTAAACCCTGTTGTTTGAGTGAAAGGATCTGTAAGACTCACCCTCAAACTTTCTAGAGATTCTTTGCTAGTCTGAATGTTGCCTTGATGCACCACATTTGGTAATTCTGAAGTCTTAAGAAAGGACTGTAGAACCATATACTGTATTATGTTTTCCTGGCAGTGCCCTAAATTTGATCTTTAAGAAGCCACTTCTTAGTGTTTTCTTGCCATCTGGAGATCTAGGGAATTTTCACAACTAGCAATTCCTGGCTCCTTGTTGTTTAACAGGCTTTCCTTTAGGTTATCTCTCCTCTTGTATTTTATTTTTTGTTTGTTTGTTTAAAAGAGACAGGTTCTCGGCCGGGCGCGGTGGCTCACACCTGTCATCCCCACACTTTGGGAGGCCAAGGCGGGCAGATCATGAAATCAGGAGATCCAGACCATCCTGGCCAACATGGCGAAACCCCGTCTCTACTAAAAATACAAAAATTAGCCGGGCGTGGTGGCAGGCGCCTGTAACCCCAGCTACTTGGGAGGCTAAGTCAGGAGAATCGCTTGAATCCGGGAGGTGGAGGTTGCAGTGAGCCGAGATTGTGCCACTGCACTCCAGCCTGAGTGACAAGAGCAAGACTCCATCTCAAAAAAAAAAAAGAGGGACAGGTTCTCACTCTATCCCCCAGGCTGGATTGCAGTGGTGCGATCATAGCTCACTGTAACCTTGAACTCCTTGGGCTCAAGCGATTTTCCCACCTCACCTTCCCGAGTAGCAAGAACTACAGGTATGTGCCACTGTGCCTCACTATTTTTAAATTTTTTTGTAGAGATGAGGTCTCTCTGTGTTGCTCAGGCTGGCCTTAAGTGATTGTGATCCTACCACCTCAGTCTCCCAAAGTGTGGATGACAGGCATGAGACACCGAGCCCACCCATCTCTTGTATTTTATTATGCGCAACTGGAAGGAACCAGGAAGCACCTTCAGTGCTTTTCCTGGAAATCCCCTTATCTAGATTACCCAGTTTATTTTCTACTTTCCATGTTGATACAGGTGACAATGTTGCAAAATTTCTGCTATTGCATAAAAAGGATCTCTCTTTGCAGTTTCCAATGTGATTTTCCTCACTTTCCCTTAAGCTCTAACCTAGAGCCTACGGAAGGGCCAGTACTGCTTGGCTGCAAAGCCTCTCCCACATTTTTAGGCATGTGTTACGCCAGCTCCCCGTTTTCCCGTACCATACCTCTAGATGTTATCTAGTACTATTACCTATTAGTCATCTATTTTGTGGTAACAAATTACCCCCAAAACTTAGTGGCTTAAGACAATAAACATTTATTTTTTCACACAGTTTCTTAGGGTCAGGAATCTAGAAGTTGTTTAATTGGGTGGTTCTGGCTCCGAGTCTCTCATGAGGTTGTAGTCAAGATGTTGGCTGGGGCTGCCGTAATCTGATGGATTGGTTGGGCAGAGACTCTGCTTTCCTGGGGTTTCCCATAGGCTGCTTGAGTGCTGCTTGAGTGGGGTTACCCATAGGCAGCTGGTTTCCCGCAGGACTCGTGATAAGAGGGGTGTGGGGGGGCCAACATGAAAATCTAGTATGAAAGTGATGTGCTGTTACTTCTGCCATATTCTGTTGGTCCCATGGGTCAGCCCTGGTGTATTGTGAAAGGGGACTGCACGAATGTGTGAAAGCCAGGAGGCGGGAATCACTGGAAGCCATATGGACGTTACCAGGAGGCAGGAATCACTGGAAGCTATCTGGACGTTGTCTTCTACAACCCTGTCTTGAAGAATTTCGTAGCCTACTGGGCACGAGTGCCTACATGTTCTAAGCATTGTGTTAGACTGTCACATGTTGTTGATTTGGCATTTACAATCCAGAAAGGAACTGCTACCCCCAGTTGAAGTTTAAAGAGATCAAGTAACTTGTTCACGACAGATTCGAATCTAGCCTGGGAATAAACGCTTGGAGCCTAGGCCTTAGGTAAAGGAGTGGATAAATATTCTATAGCATCATTGCCTTTGTATTTAAATATGAATTTTCTTCATTATACTTATGTTTAGCAGCAGCCATTTAATGTCTATTTTATATGTGGACACCTCTGCTCAACTGTTTTTTCTTGTATTCCCTTCTCCATGCAGTCACCCCTTGGCATGTGGCGGGGATAGGCTCCAGGACCTCCTGTGGATACCAAAATCCACGGATGCTGAAGTCCCTTACATAAAATGGCAGAATATTTGCATATAACCTATGCACATCTTCTTGTATACTTCAAATCATCTCTAGATCAGTTATAATACCTAATACAATGTAAATGCTGTATAAATAGTTTTTATACTGTATTGTTTAGGGAATAATGATAAGGAAAAAAGACTGTACATGTTCAGTACAGATGCAGTTTTTTCCCCAAATATTTTCAATATACAGTTGAATCCATGGGTGTACAGAGGGCTGATTGTGTAGCTCTGACCTTTTTATTTTTTTTAACCTATCCTATCTCGTTCTTCTACTGACTTTCCTTCCAACACTTTCCATAGAGTCCTTTGGAGCGTCAGACTTACTCTAACGTGAATAAACTTCTTTACAAATACTCTTTTTATAGACTACCCCTCTCATCTCTGTCTTAACTAAATCCTGGCTTTCCTGCTAGAATGCCACTCTTCGGGGACCATCTTGAATGAAAGCTGTTCATTCTTCCATACCATTTTGTCTTCAAGCCAGTAAGCTGAATCAGTCTACTTCCAATTCCAAATCATTGTTCTTTCACCCTCATGTAAAAATTCTTCTTCCTTTGAAATTCGTGCCATCTTTTTTTTTTTTTTTTTGGTTTATTTTTATTTTTTGAGACGGAGTTTCGCTCTTGTTGCCCAGGCTGGAGTGCAATGGTGTGATCTCGGCTCACCACAACCTCTGCCTCCTGGGTTCAAGCAATTCTCCTGCCTCAGCCTCCTGACTAGCTGGGATTACAGGCGCCCTCCACGACACCCAGCTAATTTTTTGTATTTTTAGTAGAAACGAGGTTTCACCATGTTGGCCAGGCTGATTTTGACTTCTTGACCTCAGGTGATCCGCCCACCTCGGCCTCCCAAAGTGCTGGGGTTACAGGTGTGAGCCACTGTGTCTGGCCCTGAAATTCGTGTCATCTTAATCATTTTCTGTCATTCTTTGTCACTGTCATTTATTAGTCTGCCTGTAGCTTATCCCTTGTTTATCAAAGACTTTGGCACTCTTTTCTCAGTTTTCTGTCCATCTCTTCCACTATCATTCTGGGTGGCTTCAGTAGCCAGGTGGACTACCATGCAACATGCTAGTTTCATCATCCTTGTTCTTTTCAACTCCAGTGACCTTCACTTCCACTTCTTTCCAACATTTTACTATCATGACTTTTAGACTGTAAGACACTCTGAAATCTTGACTCCTTCATTCTATTGACTGACCACCATCTCCTAATTTCCAGAGGTACTCTGCTCCCTTACATATATATTTATTTTATTTTTCTTTTTTCTTTTGAGACCAGGTCTTGCTTTGTTCTCCAGGCTGGAGTACAGTGATGCGATCACAGCTCACTGCAGCCTCGAATGGCTGGGCTCAAGCAATCATCCCACCTCAGCCTCCTGAGTAGCTGGGACTATAGGTGTGCACCACTGCATTTGGCTAATTTTAAAATTTTATTTTTAGTAGAGATGAGGTCTTGCTATGTTGCCCGGGCTGGTCTTGAACTGAGCTCAAGCAATCCTTCCACCTTGGCCTCCTGAAGTGCTGGGATTCCAGGCGTGAGCCACTGCGCCCAGCTCCCTTACATATATAATACCGGTGTTGGATCTTACCAAGATGTCTAGGCTGACCCCCTTCCCCCAATTGGCTTATCAGTCAAACAAATGGCTAATATCAAACGATTCTGGCTAATGAAGTAGAAAAGGAATTTATTAGAAGATAGTAGGTAGCTCACAAAATCAACAGGGAAGCTGGAGAACCAGCTTGGAAAATGGGCAGGAAGCAAAGAGGCCCAGCAGCATATACCCCAGCTAATGCCATGGCACTAGGACAGTGGTTAATGTGCTGTTGCTCCTACATTCTTGCTGTTATTTCTTCTGCCATTCCCATAAATAATTTTAATACTGTCTCTCCATTTTTATATTACCTGCTTAGGATTCAAAATCTTGCACAAGAACATCTGATTGGCTGAGTATAGGTCACATGCCTATTCCTTTGCTACCAGGGAGCTGGGAGAGGAAAGATCTGCCTTCTTTGGCTTACTTAGTGAGAAGGTAGACACTTTTCTGCCAATATTATACATAATAGGATTCCCTCAAAAGACAACGAATGTTTGGATCCTGGGTCAAAAAAAAAAAAAAAAAAAAAAAAGAAAGAAAAGGAGAGGAAGGGGAGGGGAAGAATAGAAGGAGGAGAAAAAGGAGGAAGTGGAGGAGGAGGCAGCAATATTGACAAATGTCTACTTTAGCCCACTACTGGCTTGGGAATGGGGAGAAGTCTGCCTTTAAGCCTCCTGAAAAAAAAAAAAAGCCTCCTGATCCAACTTTAACCTCCAAATTCTCACTAGATGATCTTGCTTCTTATTTCAAAAATAGGAGCCATTAGGCCTGGAATCCCTTCACTTGTTGCCTCTGTCTTTAAATGTACCTAATCAACATTGTCTTTTCCTGTTTCCCTTTAGCTATCTTAGTAGAAGAGCTCTTCCTTCTCTTGTTCAAGGCTAATTTTTCCATTTATATTCATGATGTCATCCACACTTGTCTTCTCCAGGACCCCTCATCATTAATTAAGCCTTCCTTCTTAGTTAAGATTATTTATTAATATTCCTTTTTTGTCAGACATTGCTGAATACAGGAGATATAAAGATGAATTTGATATAGCTTTGAAGTATTTATTATTTAGTGGGAAAAAGACAGACACAAATAATTGCTGTGCAATAATTTAATCATGATTGTAATTATAGTAGTTCCTTACTTTATCCATGGGGAATACTACACCAAGACCCCCAGTGGATGCCTGAAACAATGGATAGTACTGAACCCTATATATACCATGGTTTTTCCTATACATACATACCCATGATAAAGTTTTTTTGTTTTTTTGTTTTGTTTGTTTTTTGAGGCGGAGTCTTGCTGTGTCACCCAGGCTGGAGTGCAGTGGTGCAATCTTGGATCTCCGCCCACTGCAACCTCTGCCTCCCGGGTTCAAGCAATTCTCCTCCCTCAGCCTCCTGAGTAGCTGGGACTACAGGCATGTGCCACCACACTCAGCTAATTTTTGTATTTTTAGTAGACATGGGGTTTCACCATGTTGGCCAGGCTGGTCTTGAACTCTTGACCTCAGGTGATCCACCTGCCTCAGCCTCCCAGGGTGCTGGGATTACAGGCGTGAGCCACCACACCCGGCCAATAAAGTTTAATTTTTAAATGAGGCACAGCAAGAGCTGAATACTAATAACTAATGATAAAATAGATTAGTTTTAACAATATACTGTAATAAAAGTTATGTGACTGGTCTCTCTCTCAAAATATCTTATTGTACTGTACTCACCCTTCTTGTGATGAAGAAGGGATGGAGTGGAATGACGTGAGATTTCATCATACTGCTCAACTGCGTGCAACTTAAAACTTAAGAATTGTTTATTTCTGGAATTTTCCATTTAATATATTTGGACCACGGTTGAGTGTGCTAACTGAAACTGTGGAAAGTGAAACTGTGGACAAAGGGAGACTGCTGCATTTGTGTAATTTGTTTGATACATGATTTTCTATTAGAATGTGTCTTCAGTGGCCAGGCACGGTGGTTCAAGCCTGTAATCCCAGCACTTTGGGAGCCAAGGCAGGCAGATCATGAGGTCAGGAGATTGAAACTATCCCAGCTAACACGGTGAAACCCCGTCTCTACTAAAAATACAAAAAAATTAGCTGGGCATGGTTGCAGGTGTCTATAGTCCCAGCTACTCTGGAGGCTGAGGCAGGAGAATGGCGTGAACCCTGGAGGCGGAGCTTGCTGTGACCACAGATTGTGCCACTGCATTCTAGTCTGGGCAACAGAGCGAGACTCCATCTCAAAAAAAAAAAAAAATGTGTCTTCAGTGTCTAATACCTAAGAGGTGCTCAATAAATATTATTGAATGAATGAAGAGGGGTAAGCACAGGGTACTGTGGAATCATAGAGGATAGGTACTTGGCCCTCCCCTAGGAGGGAAGGAAGATTGGGCTTATGTCAGTGGAGGCTTGGTGGAGGAGACTGCAGCAGCCAGCAGGGGAAAAAAAATCAGGGGAAAGTACCAGGCAGAGAGAGGGGCATGAACAAAAGTTGAGAATGGTGAGGAGGTGGAGATGGTTTGAACAGTTAGGTGTTAAATAGAGTTATTAACAGTTAACATCTATTGAGTTTACATACATACATAGTATATGTTTATGTATACTTGTTAAGTACTTTACATATATTTTCTCATTTAATACTTACAGTATTCTTTGATTAAGGTATTATTCCCATTTTAGAATAGAAAAATCTCTGCAATACGTAGGGAAAATAGTTAACTTGCCCAAGACCATTTAGCCTATAAAGGATCAAGGAGGGATTTGTTTTGGGGTCTTTCTGGATGCAAAACCTGGTGCTCTTTATAAATGCCATGTTATACTAATACAGTGTGGTTCCCAAACTTGGTGGCTCATCAGAGTCCCCTGAGGACCTTTGTAAAAATACAAATTCCTGGCCATACCCCAGACCTGTTGAGTCAGAGTTTCCAGGGGCAGAGCTTATAGATCTATATTTTTGGGTGGTTCACATGTAACTGGCCTGGGACTGGTTCTCTCACCCTGGGGAGTTATTGCAGGTGGTGTCAAGAGCAAGGCAGGAATAGCTGACTAGCCAGGGAGGTTTTCCTGTGTCTTGCTCCTGATCCTTGACTTTACCCCGTAGATGGTGGGGCACTGAAGCTGAGAAGTGTCATCAGATACACATATTGTGCCCACCACTTTAGCAACAGTGTGAAGGATGAAGTTGAAGGCACAGGTTACAGGCAATAAGAACTTACATCTTTAGACTGCTGTCTTGACTGAGTTCGTCCTTTTTCCTCACATTCTCAAGTTTTCTAAATTTTTTTTCTCTTGGTTCTGCCAACCCTTCAGTTCTCTTTTCCCTAGCTAATTTCTTGAAAGAAATAGTTATACTCAATGTTAGGTTTCAGTCAGTTCAAGAAATGTTCCTTACTGACTTACTCTTCTTTGAGGTCATCTTCCATCAATAAATGTTTATTGAATGTTATTTGAAAGCATGGTCCTTTCTCAGATTTTGCTTTGAAGTGAAAATACCAGGGATGATTTATTTTTTCATCACGTAATCACTCATATGACAATTTTTATTGATCACCAAGTACTCTTCATGTGTCTCCTTTATGCTAGGGCCTGGGATACAACAGTGATGAGATAAGGCCTCGGACTTTACTGATCGAACATCTAATGGAAGGTGGAAGAAGAGACCATCACACAATGACGGTGTTATGGGGAACACAGGGTACAGTGCATTCATACCTCCTCCCCATCACTGTGTCAATCGCTTAACCATCTCTCTGCCTCCAGCCTTGCTTCCTTCCAGTTAAGTTATCCTCATTGATTATACATCTAGCCAGATACTCCCTACTCTATAAATCTTCATTTGATAGCTATTGTCCTTAAAATAAAATCCAAACTCCTTCAATGTGTCTTACTAAAAAAACTTGAGCCTATCCCCACCTTGCGTACTCTCATTCTGTTTCATTATAGGGAAGTTAAGGAGCAAGAATTTGAACTTTTCCTTATGTTTCTTTAGTTTCTTTTCTTTCTTTCCAACATGTTCTTGTTCTGTTGCCCGAGCTGAAGTACAGTGGTGTGATCTCGGCTCACTTTGACTTCCCAGGCTCAAGCCATCCTCCTGCCTCAGTTTCCTGAGTAGCTGGGACTACAGGTGCACACCAGCACGCCCAGCTAATTTTTGTGTTTTTTTGTAGAGATAGGGTTTTGCCATGTTGCTCAGGCCTTAGTTTCTTTTCTGGAAGATTTTTTTTTTTTTTTAGTATTTTGAATTATTTTTAAGTAAGAGAAAAAAAAATCAACCTTGTTAATATAAAGGGTAATCACTTAAAAAGCACACCTAAGAATTAGTATCTCAAATTGTTGTGTAGCCGCCACCACCATCCAACTTCAGAACCTTTTTGTCACCCCAAACTAAAGCTCTGTGCCCATTAATCAATAACTTCACATCTCCCCCTCCTGGAAACTACCGTTCTGCTTTCTGCCTTAATGAGTTTGAGCACTCTAGGTACTTCAGATAAGTGGAGTCATACAATAATTTGTCTTGTGTCTGACTTATTTCACTTAGTATAATGTCTTCAAGGTTCATCTACCCTATAAGAATGTGTCAGAATTTCCTTCCTTTTCAAGGCTAAGTAATATACCATTGTATGTGTATGCCGCATTTTGTTTATCCATCTGTTGATGGACATTTGGGCTGTTTCCACCTTCTGTCTATTGTGAATAATGCTACTGTGAACACTGGTGTGTAAGTATCTGTTCGAGTTCCCACTTACAATACTTTTAGTTATTTACTCAGAAGTGGAATTGCTAGATCATATGGTAATTTGATGTGTAACTTTATGAGGAACTACGATACTGGTTTCCAAAGAAGATACTATTATTATCACCATGTGGCAAGTGGGGAGACTTGGGCACAGAGAGGTTAAGTAACTTGCCCAAGGTCTCACAGCTAGTACATGGTAAAGCCAATGGTGGCTGGCTCCAGGTCAGTGCTCTTAACCAGCAATATATACATACTTACTGGCCTCTTTTGTAATCTCTGTTATAATTATGTTTTCCTATTTGGGGAAGATTGACATCATTTGGAGGTTTTTTTTGAGATGGGGTTTTGCTCTGTTGAGCAGGCTAGGGTGCAGTGGTGGAATTATGGCTTACTGCAGCCTTGACCTCCTGGGCTCAAGTGATCCTTCCACCTCAGCCTCCCAAGTGGCTGGGACTACAGGCATGTGCCACCATGCCCAGCTAAATTTAAATTTTAGAATTTTAACTTTTTTGTAGAGACAGGATCTCACTATGTTGCCCAGGCTAGTCTTGAACTCCTGGCCTCAAGCAATCCTCCCCCCTCAGCCTCCCAAAATGCTGGGATTACAGGTGTGAACTACCGCCTGTTTTGTTTTGTTTTTAGAGGCAGGGTCTCCCTATGTTGTCAGGCTAGACTTGAACTCCTGGGCCCAAGCTATTAGCTTGCTGAGTAGCTGGGACAATAGGCATGTGCCACCTTCGAGTTTTGAGAATTGGACTAAATCAAACAATATTTTACTCGTAGAGTATTTCCTTCTTGGATTGATTTTTTTGTTTGTTTGTTTCTGAGATGGGGTCTTACTGTGTGGCCCTGGCTAGTCTCAAACTCCTGGGCTTAAGTGATCCTCCTGCCTTAGCCTCTGGAGCAGCTGGGACTATAGGTGTGAGCCATGGTACCCAGCTTTGGATTGATTTTTTTTTTACATGACAAAATTGTTATAGTTCTCACTCTTAAATATTTTTTAGAATAGTTCTAGATGAGTATACAGGAAACTCTTTAGGAATTTGTATTCTACAAAACAAAATGAAAAACAAAAGTATACTGACACAGTGTATCAGTAACAAATAGCCTGACTCTCAAAGTACTCTCATTACAAAACTTAGAATGATACTTTTTTTTTTTTTTTAAAGGTGGTATGTTACCCAGTCTCAAACTCCTGGGCTCAAGTGATCTTCCCACCTCAGCCTCCTGAGTAGCGGGGACTATAGGCATGTACCACCACACTCAGTGAATTATATGTTTTAAAAGGATATTTTGTATATTGGCCATTTCTCTAACATTTCCCAAAACTGCATGCTTTTGGCATCTGTGCTATAAACTTAGACCAAAGTAGCTTCAGAAATACAGTAGAAGCTCCCCTTAACGTGTGTGCCAGATTAACATAAAACAGACATTTCCTTTCTAAGACATGCTTATTCTAAGGGCACGCAGAATACCTTTTGCCATTCATTAAGTATGATGTTAGTTGTGAGTTTTTCATAAATACCTTTTATCCTGATGAGGAAGTTCACTTCTATTCCTAGTTTTCTTTTAAACAATAACCTTAAGAAGTATTTTTTAATTGACACATAATAATTGTACATATTTATGGAGCACAGTGTGACATTTTGATATGTACACATAATGTGCTATGATCAAATCACTATTCCTAGTTTTCCGAGTGTTTTTATAATGAAAAGATGTTATGTATTGTCAAATACTTGTTCTGTGTCTATTGAGATGACATGGTTTTTTTGCTCCTCTTCGTTCTATTAATGTGGTGTATTATGGTGATTGGTTTTCATATGTTCATTCTCGGGAGAAATCCCATTTGGTCATAGTGGATAATCCCCCATAAAGTGGCTGGATTATGTTTTCAAGTGTTTTGTTGAGGATTTTGCATTTATATTTATAATGGATGTTGGTTTGTAGTTTTCTTCTTATGTCTCAGTTTTGTTTTTTTTTTAAATCATGTTAATACTGGCCTTATAGAATGAGTTGGGCAGTGCTTCCGTCTCTTCAATTTTTGGGAAGATTTTGTGAAGGATTGGTAGATTGGTATTAATTTTTTTTTTTTTAGACGGAGCCTCACTCTGTCACCCAGGCTGGAGTGTGGTGGTGTGATCTCGGCTCACTGTAACCTCTGCCTCCCAGGTTCAAGTTTTTCTCATGCCTCAGCCTCCTGAGTAGCTGGGATTACAGGCGCACACCACCACACCTGGCTAATTTTTGTTAGAGACGGGATTTCAACGTGTTGGTCAGGCTGGCCTTGAACTCCTGGCCTTGAGTGATCTGCCTGCCTCGGCCTCCCAAAGTGCTGGGATTACAGGCGTGAGCCACTGGCACCCGGCCTTATTGAGTTTTTAGTAGGTTTACAGGTACTATCAGAGTTATTCTCAAGGTGTTTACAGTATGGAAAGTGAGACAAATAAGTAAACTGCTAATTATAATATGGTTTGATAGACTATTATGATAGAGATAGCATGTATGCTACATGATTACATAGGAGGGTACTTAACAAAAAAGAGAAGGGAAGCCTTCAAAAGGTCAGTTACTCTTAAACGTGAGTGACGAATGGGAGATAGCCAGGAAGGAGGAGAGCAATATTCCAGGCAGGAGTGTCCGTCACAAAGGCGGAGGGCAATATTCCAGGCAGGAGTGTCCATCACAAAGGCACTGGGAAAAAGCATTATCACTGGGACACTACAGAGACTTCCTGCCTAGTGCATCTGTGTGGAAAAGTGTGAAGAGATCACATTTTTGAGATAGGTAGGAGCCTAAGTTCATAAAGGGCTTTGTGCGCCTGGTTAAGGAGTCTGAATGTTAGTTTGAAAGGCCTTGCGAACCATTGGAGGATTTTAAACCAGACGGTCAAATTACTAAATTTGCATTTTAGATCATCCTAGCAAAATGTGGATTATGGTTTGATGGGTGGAATGGGAAGTGAGAGAAAGGAGACTAAAGGCAAAAAGGCAGGAAGTGACTACATTAATTTAGCTGGAAGTGATGAGTGTTTATTTATTTATTTATTTATTTTTGAGACAGAGTCTCGCTCTGCCTCCCAGCCTGGAGTGCAATGGTGCGATCTCCACTTACTGCAACCTCCACCTCCCATGTTCAAGTGATCCTCCTGCCTCAGCCTGTGATTACAGGCGCATGCCACCACACCCAGCTAATTTTTTTTTGTATTTTTAGTAGAGGTGGGGTTTTATCATGTTGGCCAGGCTGGTTTCAAACTCCTGATGTCAAGTGATCCACCCACCTAGGCCTCCCAAAGTGCTGGGATTGTAGTCTAATCGTAAGCAATGACAATGGAAATGGAAGGGAAAGAACAGAGTTCAGAAGGGTTTATAAGTAGATGGCCGGGTGCACTGGCTCACGCCTGTAATCCCAGCACTTTGGGAGGCTGAGATGTGTGGATTGCTTGAGCTCAGAAGTTTGAGACCAGCCTGGGCAGCATGGCAAAAACCTGTCTCTACTAAAAACACAAAAATTAGCTGGGCATGGTGGCACAGGCCTGCAGTCCTAGCTACTTGGGGAGCTAAGGTGGGAGGATCGCTTGAACCCAGGAGGTGGAGGTTGCAGTGATCTGGGATTGCGCCAGTGAATTCCAGCCTGGGCAACAGAGCAAGACTCTGTCTCAAAAACAAACAAACAACAACAACAACAACAACAACAAAAAACCCCAGAAAGGTTGAAAGGTGTTGATGATCAAATAGAATTAGGAAGATGAATTTGTTAGAATGAGAAATTTGGAGGACTGTGATCAGGGAATCAGTAGAAGATAGCAGTGAGAAGGAATAGTAGATTATGTGTCCTCAAGTGATGAACCTTAATAGAGTAGTAGTTTTTAATATGAAGTTGAAACAAGGATGCTCCCAGACAAGTCCAGGTTGTGGGCCATTCTGTATGATGCTATAAAGCCTGGTCTCTTCAACAAGCTAATTTCATGTGTGTGGGGAGGGGTGGGGAAGGATGGAGGACTGTTTTAGTTTCAAAGAGAACAAAATAATATGTAACAGCCAAATGCAGTACATAATCTTTGATTGGATTTTAGTATGAAAAAAATACCTATGAGACATTTAGGGACAGATGGAGACATTTGAATATGGAATAGATATTAGATGATCTTAGTGAATTTTTGTTAATTTTTAAAGATGTCATAATAGCATTGGGATTATGCAGGAGAATGTCTTTATTTTTAGGAGATATGCTGAAGTATTTAGGGATGAATTATTCTGATGTCTGCAATTGACTTAGAGACAGACAGACATGGAAAGAGGAATCAAAAAATGGCAAAATATTAACAATAGTTTAGGCGGTGGGTATAGAGTTGCTTGTAACACTAAGCTTTCAACTTTTCTGTGTGTTTGAAAATTTCCTTCATTAGAGAAGCTGGCAAAAAATATGGCAGATTAGGAGTATGGGGCTATGAGTAGCAATGGGGAGCTCTCTATTGCTAACCTTCCCCAAGTCCCTGAGATAGGTAAGCCACGGGAGAATGAGCAGCCAGTTCTGAAAGGGACTTCAAGATGGGTAATGACTTTGGGGTAGTGCTTCTCAGCTTTTATCACTTTAAAACCTAAACATTGGCCAGGCTCAGTGGCTCACGTGTGTAATCCCAGGACTTTGAGAGGCCAACGTGGGAGGATTGCTTGAGGCCAGGAGTTCAAAACCAGCCTGGTCAGCACAGAGTGACCTTGTCTCTACAAATGAAAACAAAAATTAAAAAAAATTAGCCAGGCATGGTGGTCTGTGCCTGTAGTTCCAGCTACTCAGGTGGCTGAGGCGGGAGGATTGCGTGAGCCTGGGAGTTTGATGCTACAGTGAGCCATGGTCTCACCACAGCACTTCAGCCTGGGACAGAGCACGACTCTGTCTCAAAAACAAAGAAACAAACAAAAACCCTGAGCATGGAAAATAATATTTGTGTGGCACACAATATCTGGTAAAACTAGATGAGCTTTGGGACTCTACATGAGGCTTGATTATTAAAAAAATCATTATGTTAAAAAATTTTGTTATGTATTTCATTATGTAAAAAAATTTATAAGAAAATAAAACAGAGCATTAGGAAATTTTAAAATGATGACCCTTTTTTAAAAGTTCCAAATGTATTTAAAATGTTAAAGGTGGAACTTGAGCTTGCTTCCCAACGTGTTACTTTTTAATATCAAACTTTTTGCTTGAAATAGTTGTACTCAATTCCTGATTTTAAAAAATCTTTAATATGAGCTCTTCAATTTTTGATCATTTACTACCAATGAGTAACTGTTCATGCAGAAATGTAAAAGCATTTTTCCCAACCATTAAAAAATCAAAATATGAACTAGGCCCCTACCTATCTCAAAAATGTGATCTCTTAACATGTTCTCACACTTTTTTTTTTTTTTTTTTAAATTTTCAGAGCAAGATCCTTCAGGCTGCAGTGCAGTGGTGCTATCATAGCTCACTGCAACCTTGAACTCCTGGGCTTAAGGGATCCTCCCATGTCAGCCTCCCGAGTAGTTGGGACTATAAGCATGTGCCACCATGCCTGGCTAATTGCTTTTTAAAAAATTTTGTGTGTGTGTGTATGTAGAAGTGAGGTCTCGCTATGTTGCTTAGGCTGGCCCCAAACTCCTGGGCTCAAGCAGTGCCCCCAGCCTGGCCTCTCAAAGTGCTAGGATTAGAGGCATGAGTCACTGCACCTGGCCCTCGCACAAATTTTTGTAGTTTCCCAAGGATTATGCTTTTCTTTTTTTTTTTTTTTTTTTTTTTTTGAGACTGAGTCTCGCTCTGTCACCCGGGCTGGAGTGCAGTGGCACCACCTCAGCTCACTGCAACCTCCACCTCCCAAGTTCAAGTGATTCTCCTGCCTCAGCCTCCTGAGTAGCTGGGATTACAGGCTCGCACCACCACGCCCGGCTAATTTGTATTTTTAGTAGAGACAGGGGTTTCACCATGTTGGTCAGGCTGGTCTCGAACTCCTGACCTTGTGATCCGCCTGCCTCGGCCTCCCAAAGTGCTGGGATTACAGGCATAAGCCACTGTGCCCGGCTGGATTGTGCTTTTTCACTGTGCCTTTGTCAGTGATACTCCTGCCTGGAATATTTCAAACCAGTTGAAATTATATCATCTAAAAACTTCTCCTTTAATTAACCAATATAACTTGGAAAATTTTCTAATAATCCAAACGATTTTTTTTTTTTTTTGAGTTGGAGTCTCGCTCTGTCACCCAGGCTGGAGTGCGGTGGCACGATCTCTGCTCACTGCAAGCTCTGTCTCCTGGGTTTACACCATTCTCCTGCCTCAGCCTCCCAAGTAGCTGGGACTACAGGCGCCCGCCATCATGCCCGGCTAATTTTTTGTACATTTAGTAGAGATGGGGTTTCACCTTGTTAGCCAGGATGGTCTCGATCTCCTGACCTCCTGATCCACCCTCCTCGGCCTCCCAAAGTGCTGGGATTACAGGCGTGAGCCACTGCGCCCAGCCCCCCAAATGATTTTTTAATCCAGTTGAACTGTCTCATATCAATTATTTCAAAGTAATGAAGATTTAATTTATATATGATGCATGTGTTTTTTGTTTGTTTGTTTTTGAGATGGAGTCTCTCTCTGTTGCCCAGGCTGGAGTGCAGTGGCACAATCTTGGCTCAGGCTCGCTGCAACCTCTGCCTCCCAGGTTCAAGTGATTCTCCTGCCTCAGCTTCCTAAGTAGCCGGGACTACAGGCGTGCGCCACCACGTCCAGCTAATTTTGGTATTTTTAGTAGAGACAGGGTTTCACCATGTTGGCCAGGCTGGTCTCACACTTCTGACCTCAAGTGATCTGGCCACCTCGGCCTCCCAAAGTGCTGGGATTACAAGCATGAGCCACCGCTCCCGACCTCTCATGCATGTGTGTTTAGGGCCGCACAACAAGCTTGGCTGCTACTGAAAGGACATATCAGTTACGGAGGCATGGAAGTAGCCCATAGTATGTGAAGATAAAGATTTGGGACTGCTTCCTAGAGCCATGAGCCCTGTCAGTTTGAAGTAGTTGCACACTGGAATGAACACTATGCTCTTTGGGCACCTGGAACAGAAACTTCTCCAGGAGCTCTCTACTGGGTAATGGTGCATTCTGTATCTGGCCTCTGAAGGAGAAGACCACATGATATGTCACACACTTGGCAATGGGGAGCAGTGGGTGCCTGATGGCATTTGTTGTGGTTGTCGCTGTGCAGAACAGGAGGCCTGCCATCGGAGCCTGTCGTGCCCTGGTCCCCCTGTGGGAAGCTCTGGAATAGACTGCTTTCTGGGGCCTGACTTCATCTGGCCACACTGAGAGATGAGAGATAAGAGGATCAGTATTTTGGGGTACCCCTTTAATCCATCCACTTTACAGGCTGAGTATCCCTTTTTCTTTCTTTTTTTTTTTTTTTTTTGAGACGGAGTCTCACTCTGTTGCCCAGGCTGGAGTGCAGTGGTGCGATCTCGGCTCACTGCAAGCTCTGCCTTCCGGGTTCACGCCATTCTCCTGCCTCAGCCTCCCCAGTAGCTGGGACTACAGGCACCCGCCACCACACCTGGGTAATTTTTTGCATTTTTAGTAGAGATGAGGTTTCACCGTGTTAGCCAGGATGGTCTCGATCTTCTAACCTCTTGATCTGCCTGCCTCGGCCTCCCAAAGTGCTGGGATTACAGGTGTGAGCCACCGCGCCCAGCCTTGAGTATCCCTTTTTCAAAATACTTGGTACCAGAAGTATTTTGGATTTCTAATTTTTTTGGATTTTGAAATCTTTGCATATACATAATGAGATATCTTGGGAAAGGGATTCAAGTCTAAACACGAAACTCATTTATGTTTCATATAAACCCTATAGACATAGCCTGAAGGTAATTTTATGTAGTATTTTAAATAATTTGTAGATGAAACAAAGTTTCTCTACATAGAACCATCAGAAAGCAAAAATATCACTATGTCAGCCACCCATGAGGACAAGCTGGTTGTTTGGCATCAGCATCATTCCTGACCCTAAATTGATAGGAATTGATATTGATAAGCAATCATCTTCTTACATTTATTCACACGGAAGTACTTACCAGTAAAAAATATGAAGTACCATTCATGAAGTGAAAAAATAATGTGTTCAAGGTAATGAAGCAGCACAGTGGCATCACCAGAATACCTGTGTCAGCTGTTAGCAACAGCAAACACCGGACTTTCAGTCTCTGCCTGCAATGCTGTGTTTTGATTAGAAGGTTACTGTATACTGTACAGGTTGAGTGACCCTTATCTGAAATGCCTGGGACCTCCAAATGTTTTGGTTTTGGAGCATTTTGGATTTAGCATTTTCAGATTAGGGATGGTTAACTTGTATTGCAATGTCCAGTGGGTAAGGATTCCTGAGTTAGGGTAGTCCTAGATTTCAGTTAAGGCATTAATTATTCCTGATAGATGATAATTTGAAAAAAGAGACTCGATGATCAAGTGACTTTGGGAAATGCTGTGTTGAACAAAGTTAAGTTTCATGATTGTAGAACATTCCAAAGACTTTAATATACTAATACACACTATAAATGACCATATAGAACTACATATAAATATTATATATAAACCATAATATTCAGAGTTTTCCAGACATTTTTGATCACTGAAGCCTTTTATTGAGAAGCTCTGGCTGGGCGCAGTGGCTCATGCCTGTAATCCCAGCACTTTGGGAGGTCACGGGAGGTGGATCACGAGGTCAGGAGTTCAAGAGAAGCACCTTGAGGAATGAGTGTTAAACAGAACACAGTTTAGAAAATATATTGATAAGAAGTTATTAAAAATTCATGCCTTGCAGGCTGTAAATGCACTTTAATCAGAGTGCCATTTGTTTTGTTCAAATGTTTTAAATTATTGGAATGCACACTTTTTAAAATATGCAAATAAAGTTTGGAAACTAAAAAATAAAGTTAGTGCCTGTTCTTTAGAGATGGAAGGATAAAATTATAAATTATAAGTTTTACCTATTTCAAAACAAAAGTCAGCATTATACTTATTGGTAAAAGACTAGTGTTCTAGATTATTAATAATAATAATTATATTTTTATAAAATGGATTATTATCACTTTATGCATTAATGTTGCTTTGGTAGTGCTGGCCAGTGCCATGAGTCATGACAGAGAAATAAGATACAATAAGAAGATAATACAAAAAGTATTATTAGAAAATATAAAATAATCAACTGAAAGATTTTAATTAATACATTTTTCAGGAAATATATAATCAATAGCAAAAATTCAATTTTTACCTCAAACACTTGAAATTACAGGGCTCGAAAAAATATTTCATCACAATATCTACAAAACCCATAAAATACTCAGGCATCATCTTCTTGGAGGATTGTGTGTGACTTACATGACGAACCTCAAAATATGTAATATTTAATTTAGAGATCTATAAGGGATATATATATCTAAATATACACCTCTTAGATGTGAAAACTATTCTAAAATGTTAATTCTCAATGTATAGCTGATTGCAATAGCAATAAAACTTTCAATGGTATTTCATTTGGAATTTCTAAATTGTATATGGATTTCTGTATTTCCTTTGGAATAATAAATTGGTATTGATGAACATTCCTAAAAAGAGGCTAATAGAGTGGCAATAAATAAAATGCTATGGTAATGGCACAAGACTAGAAATGCAAATCAGAATAGAATTAACAGAATGGACAATTGATAGAATTAATCTCAATCACATAAAAGATGATAATACACGATAAAGTGCAAGGAATCAAGCACCTGGTAAAGTAGGAAAAGCTAATCTTTCACTTTGAATCACATCAAAATAAACTTCAGATGAATTACTCAGTGTGTTGTCCAGTGTCAAAAACAAAAAACAAAGAACAAACAAACAAACCACAGTAAATCTATCTGTAAATTGTTGAAGAAAATAGAATTAAGTATTTGCCAGACCTCGAGAAAAAGGGTGATTTTTCTTTGTCTCTCTCTTGGGCCTTTCAAAGGATAAGTTTCTCAACTTTACAGTATGAGAAGAAATCTCAACAGATGTGACTACCTAAAAATAAAGGATAATGTACTTTTAAAATGACCTTAAATTTAAAAACCAAACATCAGCTTTGTGCAGTGGCAGTGTCGTAACCAGAGAGATTTTCCCAAGATACTGTTATGGCTAATAAGAACCTTGCTAGTTCAACTGTGTTCAACTCGTTGAATTTCAGTGAGATAAGGCAAATATACAAAGGTGAATTGGGCAGGATTGTTCAATAAAGAATTGATTATTGATTATAATAATGAAAAATCAGAAACTAAACATCCACAATTGGAGGGTTGATTAAATACATTTTGATAAAGCTCTATAATGGAATATCAGGCAGTCACTAAAAATAATAAGGTAATGAATATTTATTGAGAATGAAAGATCCAATTTATTGCTGAGTGAGAAATTAGATTAGAGAACAACATTAAAAGTAGTTAACTCTGGGCCGGGCGCAGAGGCTCACACCTGTAATCCCAGCACTTTGGGAGGCTGAGGCAGTTGGATCATTTGAGGTCAGGAGTTTGAGACCAGTCTGACCAATATGGTGAAACCCCGTCTCTACTAAAAATACGAAAGTGAGCTTGGCGGTAGTGGTGCACACCTGTAATCCCAGCTACTCCAGAGACTGAGGCAGGAAAATCTCTTGAGCCTGGGAGGTGGAGGTTGTGGTGAGTCGAGATCATGCCACTGCACTCCAGCCTGGGCGACATGGCAAGACTCCATCTCAAAAAAAAAAAAAAAAAAGACAAAAAAAAAGAAAAAAAGAAAAGAGTAGTTAACTCTGGGTAGAATTTGAAGTGATTTTAACTTAAACTTTCATCTGTGTCTTTTTCCTCCAGTAATTGTGTATGATTTTGATCATCAGAAAGGAAATGGAGCTGTTTTCATTTTAGAAAAACAAGTTCAAACAACTGACCTGGAAAATTGTTTGCAGTAACTTCGACATAGGGTTAAGTCTTTATTATTCAAACAGGTCATGCAAATTGTAAAGAAATAATTGAAGATCCCAGTAGGGTTGAGCAGAGAACATGAATAGACAATTCATAACATAGAAAACAGAGATGGTAAACAAACATATGGATCATTATTCAGATTCATTTGTAATCAAAGCAGTGTAAATTTAAATAATGAGGTAATATTTATTTGTTGTTAAATTAGCAAAAGTTTATTGCTGTGTTATAATAAAGAAAAAATAATATCAATAAATTATGGTGTATTATTTTGGTACCATTAAAAATGGAAGGTTGTGTAAATTATGTTGCAACCTGGAAAAATATAACATTTACGTGAAGTAATTAAGGAGTTAAGATTTTATACTGTAAGTACTAACAGGTGGGATGGGGTGGAGTGAGGTGAGGTGGGGTGGGGTGTGGGGGGAGAAGAGCAGGATTGTTCAAATGAGGAAGATCTGAGTTCAGTCCAGCTCTGCCACTCAATAACTCTGTGATCTTGGGCAAGGTGCTTAGCCTCTCTGAGCTTTGGTTTCTTTTTTTCTCTACGGTTGTAAAAGTATATACAGTACCTGACGTAGAACCTGGTGTATAGTGTTTATTCAGTACATATTTGTTGAGTGAGTGAATGGTAGTTATTCAATGCCATATATAAAAGAATATGTATGAAGAAAGATTGGAAGAAAATACAGCAAAATGATGAGTAGTTATGTTAGGGGGAAGAGAATTTGACTGATTTTAAAATTTCCTATTTTCTACTATTGGGTGGTATTATATTTCTAATTGAAATAATTACCTAAACTCATGCCTAATCTCTTTCTTTCTGGGTGTCCTACTGTATTTACTGTTTGATACATTTTGACACCTTTTTCTTTTCTTTGAGACAAGGTCTGGTTCTGTCGCCAGGCTGGCGTGCAGTAGTGTGATCATGGCTCACTGCAGCCTCGACCTGCTGACCTCAAGCAATCCTCCTGCCTGGGCCTACCAAACTGCTATAGGCATGAGCTCCCATGCTTAGCACAATTTAGAGACTTAATTACATTATTGTCCTTTATTCTTTCACTCAGCCAAACACCTTGGAGTTGGCCTTAACCCTTTTCTTTCTCTCTGCACCTAACATAAAATTTATCAGCAAATCTTGTTGGCTCTGCTCTTTAGAATATATCCAGAATCTGCCGGGCGCGGTGGCTCACGCCTGTAATCCCAGCACTTTGGGAGGCTGAGGCGGGTGGATAATGAGGTTAGGAGATCGAGACCATCCTGGCCAACATGGTGAAACCTTGTCTCTACTAAAAATACAAAAAATTAGCTGGGCATGGTGGTGTGCGCCTGTAGTCCCAGCTACTCAGGAGGCAGAGGCAAGAGAATCGCTTGAACCCGGGAGGTGGAGGTTGCAGTGAGCCGAGATCAAGCCACTGCACTCCAACCTGGGCAACAGAGAGAGACTCTGTCTCAAAAAAAAAAAAAAAAGAAAGAAAGAATATATCCAGAATGCTGACATTTCTCACCACCTTCACTGCTACCATTCTGGCCCACATCTCTCACCTGGAGTATTGCAGAGGCCTCCTGACTGGTCTCTCTGCTTCCACCCTTTTCATAATAGCCAAAGTGATCAGCAGACCGCATCACTGTGCTGCCTGGAAAAACCCTTCAGCGGCTTCTCATCTCATTCAGAGTAAAAGCCGAAATCCTTAAAGTAGCCTACAGGGCTTTTTTTTTTTTTTTTTTTTTTTTTGAGATGGAGTTTTGTTCTTGTTGCCCAGGCTGGAGTGCAATGGTGCAATGGCGCAATCTCGGCTCACTGCAACCTCCGCCTCCCAGGTTCAAGCAATTCTCCTGCCTCAGCCTCCCAACTTGCTGGGATTACAGTTATGCGCCACCATGCCTGGCTAATTTTGTATTTTTAGTAGAGACAGGGTTTCACCCTGTTGGCCAGGCTGGTCTCAAACTCCTGACCTCAGGTGAACCACCCTCCTCGGCCTCCCGAAGTGCTGGGAATACAGGTGTGAGCCACCGCACCTAGCCAAGGCCTCTTTACAATCACCCTCAAACTCATACCTTTCTGATCTTATTTCTTACTCTTCTGCACTTACTGTTCTCTCTGCCTGAAAACTCTGCAGTTGTTCATAAGGCTGGTTCCTTCCCCTCCTTCAGGTGTCTGCCCAAGGGTCGCCTTACCACAGAGGCAGGCCTCTCTAAGACCACCGTATCAACCCATTCTCCCCCACCCACGCCCAGCACTCCTCGTGTCCCTACCCTGTTTATTCCTTCCTCTATTTCTCACACCATTTGCCTTACTATGTATTTTATCGAATATTACGAGCTTATATTTCTTTCCCAATAAAAGTAGCTCTATGGAGGCAGGAATTTTTTTCTATTTTGTTCCTTGCCATAACCTTAGCACATTGTAAGTACTAGGTAACTGTTTACTGAATATATATATGAGTGTTTCATATATGTAAGTCATAGTCCAAAACTAGTTTGAAAGCTTTTTGAGTAAATGTCATGTTGGTTTTTATGCCTTTCTTCCCCCAACTCCACAAGCAAAGAATAAGGCAAGGTAGGCAGGGAACACTGTTGATAAGCAAACAGTATCTGTTTTTATTGGTTTCACTGTGCCTCTCAGGCTACGACTCTACCCAAAGGACTTGAGATAGAGAGGCCGCTGCTGGAAATATTCTGTCACCGTGATTGGAGTGGTTGAGTGGTTCCATGAGTATATGCGTATGTAAACACTTAATTAAGCTGTGTATTTAAGATCAGTGCACCTTTACCATATGTATATTTTGCCTCAGAAAAAATGTTTACAAATACAGTGTATCCTTTGACATCTCCAGAGGAAGTTAAACATGCTAAATGATACATAAATATAAGGAGAGGGTTCTTCATATGCTTACTTATTAAGATTGCTAGTCTGGTTATTAGAATTTTTGTTTTGAATTCAAAGCTAAAGTAAACTAATTTTTATTTACTTTGTCTTTTGCAGAGATAATAGTAGCAGAATTTCACAAAAAAATCAAAGAGGCATTTGAAGTCTTTGACCATGAGTCGAATAATACAGTGGATGTGAGGTGTGGAAATATTTTTTTTTTTGTTACACTTTTAAATTACTGATACAAGTCATAAGATACAAGAGAGCTATTTTCTCTTTTTACACTGTACCTTGGATTTATTATGCTCTTTTAAGTATTTATTTTCCATGCTCCGTAAAAGGTCTTTGCTAGCTATTGCTTTGATAAGTACTGTTTCTTATTCTTCATACTCTGGTAGAAACAATATACTGTATTCTCATTGCCTGTTCCAACCTATAATTGTAAACTCTGTGACTGAGATGAACTCTATTTTAGCTTTAGTGCTTGGCACATAGTTGGTACTCAGGAAATAGTCGTTGAGTGAAGGAACAGCATTTGCTTTGTAAAACACATAAATATGTATTATAAGGCCACAAATAGGATATTGCAAGGAAACAGTAATGCTTATGCGATGACACACTCCCCCTGTAAAATAGCAAAAAGAACCCAAACAGAAGAACATAAAAAGGCAAGAGAAGACATGAATACTGGTAGGTCTGAAATGGAGGACACAGCTTGGGACTGAAACAAAACAAACAAAAAACCCCTTAAGAGAAGAGATTAGACGCTAATAAGAATTGTAGGGTTTGTGCCACACACATCAAAGAAAAGCAATGAAGCCAGGCGTGGTGGCTGACACCTGTAATCCAAGTACTTTGGGAGGTCAAGGTGGACAGATCACCTAAGGTCAGGAGTTCAGGACCAGCCTGACCAACATGGTGAAACTCTGTCTCTACTAAAAATACAAAAACTAGCCGGGCACGATGGCAGGCACCTGTAATCCCAGCTACTTTGGAGGCTGAGGCAGAAGAATCACTTGTACCCGGGAGGCAGAGGTTGCAGTGAGCTGAGATCATGCCACTGCACTCCAGCCTGGGCGACAGAGCGAGACTCTGTCTCAAAAAAAAAAAAAAAAAAAAAGGCAATGAAACCATCCTTTCAGGAGGCCGGGCTAAATGAGGGTTATTTGATGAGATTGCAATCTCAAGACCAGAACCTAGTAGAGAGGCCAGCAAAGCAGTGGGAAGTGGTTTGAAAATGGTTCTGGAAAGGAACTGTTTGATGCTTATAAACCAGTGCCATCAGAGCTGCAGCACCATACAGCTCCGGTGGCTGTGGTCACATTGCATTCTGTGGGAATGACATTGTGGAACACCAGGCCTTCCTGTGGGTATCCCAGTAGGAAATGAGTGGGCAGGGTGCTGGTGGTGGTGGTAGGGTTAGGGAGGGGGTGCAGCAGGCAGCCCGGCCTGCAATTTGAATAACTAACTACATGAATGACAAGTGCCTTGACCTCAGACCTCTCCTTGAAGGGTTCTCCTCCTGGGGGCGGGGGACAGAGGTATTGTTAGAGAAGTCAGGGAAAGTATGGCATTATGAGAGAGAGGGAAAAGAGAGAAAAGAAACCAGCATCTGCTTGAGGCTTGTCATCTAACACACTACGTGTAGTTGGGTGCCAGAGGCTTCACGTGGATTACCTCATTTTAATCTTTTTATTTATGGGTTAAGGGTTGGCATCTCCGGTTTCCAGAGACAAGGAGAAGGTAAATCGTTTGCTCCATGTCACACCAGGTTTCTCTAACGCCAAGTCTCTTGCTACACTGTGGGCATGCCACACTGCCCACACTCCCACTCCTACTCTTTAGAGACATCAGGGGCTTCTCTTCTGCCTTCAGGCTTCCTGACAGTAGCAGTGAAAAGAAAATCTCCCGATCACTGACAGCAATGATGCCAGGCCTTTTTTGGTAAAAGGGCCAATTCAGTAAAAGAAAACGTGTTTATGGGCTGAATCTTTTTTTCCATTGAAAGTTAAAATAACTTTACCGAGGCCCTGAGGGAAAGTGGATGTTCTTACAACCTAAAGAGTCTGCTTTGTTAATTAAAGATGGTTACTAAGAAAATTGTTATTGTTTTTAGCATTAAAATATTGCTGCTGAGTATATTTGAGGAATAACAACATGGATGAATGTAGCTTTATAATTTTTCCTGTGTTAATTTGTATATCACTTTAAAGTTTATAATGAATGTTCTCATGCTGCTGGTATCATTACCATCCACTCTTTTTAAAAAATTCGTTTAAAGATAGGGTCTTACTCTGTCCTCCAGGCTAGATTATAGTGGCTTGATCATAACTCACTGTATGTAACCTTGAACTCCTGAAGTGATCCTCCTGCCTCAGCCTCCCAAGCAGCTAGGACTACCACGCCCAGCTAATTATTATTTCTTGTAGTGACAGGGGTGTTGCTATGTTGCCCAGGCTGGTCTTGAACTCCTGGCCTCAAGTGATAGACCCTCCTTAGCCTCCCAAAGTGTTGGTATTACAGGTGTGAGCCACTGCACTCGGCCACTCTTTATAAATTGGAAATTAAGCTTTGGGAGGCCAAGGTGGGTGGCTCACCTGAGGTCAGGAATTCAAGACCAGCCTGGCCAACATGGTGAAACCTCATCTCTCCTAAAAATAAAAACTAAAAACTAAAAAATAAAAATAATTAGCTGGGCATGGTGGTGTGCACCTGTAGTCCCAGCTGCTTGGGAGGCTGAGGCATTAGAATCTCTTGAACCCAGGAGGTGGAGATTGCAGTGAGCTGAGATTGCACCACTGCACTCCAGCCTGGGCGACTAAGTGAGGCTTTGTCTAAAAATAAAAAAGAAAGAAGTGTCTTTGAACGGAGGGAGAGATATGTAATGGCTCAGTGGGGGCAGGACAGAGAGAGCTGTTCCTGGAGACGCCCCCCGCCCCCAGGCACTGGCTGTTCCTCCCCTAACTGCTTTATCCCTCAGGTGGAGGTTTGGTGTTACTTCCTGTGTAGGGCTGATCTAGGTCCCCTGAGAGGTCTAGGTCTTAGAATTTTGTGGTGGCTACTTTCCCTTTCCCTTATCTCTGCTTTGCACAAATTGAAATATTTGATTTGAAATTGTATTGCATTAGATAAAGGGAAAGTCTGGTATTCCAAATGCTGGGCAGCCACCAGCCCACTGTCAAAAGCATTATGAGCTGGGCTCCTGCTACTGCCCTTCCACCTCTGAGGGGCAGTCCTGAGGTCTGGAATCAGACTTCCTGGGTTCCCATCCCAGCTCCGTGACTGCGAGTCACTTTGTTATTCTCTTTGTGCCTCCATGTACCTTTGCCTCCTAGGTTTCATAGTATAAGTAATTAGTTCTCAGAGTGCCCCCAAGACCCTTTCCGGGGTCTGTGAAGTCATAACTATTTTCATAATAAATTTAAGACAGTATTTGTTCTTTTCATTCTCACTGTTTCCACAAGTATATACTGGAGTTTTTCTTTCTTTTTTTTTTTTTTTTTTTTTTTTTAGACAGGGTCTCGCTCTGTCACCCAGGCTGGAGTGCAATGGTGCAATCTCAGCTCACTGCAACCTCCGCCTTCCGGGTTCAAGCAATTCTCCTGCATCAGCCTCCCAAGTAGCTGGGATTACAGGTGCCCGCCACCACGCCCGGCTAATTTTCGTATTTTTTTTTTTTTTTAGTAGAGACGGGGTTTCACCATGTTGTCCAGGCTGGTCATGAACTCCTGGCCTCAGGTGATCCACCCACCTTGGCCTCCCAAAGTGCTGGGATTACAGGCGTGAGCCACCACACCCAGCCTTATACTGGAGTTTTTCAAAGGCTACATGACGTGCAGTTTTACAACAGATTGAACGCAGAACTAGATATGAGAATGCAGCTGTCCTCTGTGAAGCCAGGTGTTACATATTTACATTGAACGTATGTAAAACAATGTAAAACAATGCCATTCTTCTAAATATACTTTTTGTTTTGGAAAATATAGTTTAAAAAATTAACAACTATTTATGTAAACATTTGGGTTGATTTATGATTTTTAAATGAATTAATAAATACATATTTTTAAAATGTAAGCTTTAATTTCTAATATGATAGTAAATATAGATGCATATAACTCACACAAACATAGACGCTTTGAGCGCCTTGATAATTTTTGATAGTTTGTAAAAGGAGTTATCAGACCAAAAAGTTTGAGAACCACTATTGTGAGTGGACATTTTTAAAGCTCTTAGAACAATATTAGCTTGGGATTTAAAGCTAAGAACAGTATTAGCTATTATAATTATTCTACTTTATATATATATAGTTTTTATTATTATTATTTTGAGATGGCATCTCACTGTGTGGCTCAAGCTGGATTGTAGTGGCCCAATCTCGGCTCATTGTAACCTCTGCCTCCTGAGTTCAAGCAATTCTCCTGCATTGGCCTCCCAAGTAGCTGGGATTACAGGTGCCCACCACCACGCCCATCTAATTTTTGTATTTTTAGTAGAGACAGGGTCTTGCTATGTTGCCCAGGCTGTTCTCAAACTCCTGGCCTCAAGTCATCCGCCTGCCTCAGCCTCCCAAAGTGCTGGGATTACAGACGTGAGCCACTGTGCCTGGCCCCATTTTATGTTCTTAAAGTAAATAACTCAGACTTGTTTTGCCCCTGTTTAATCTGGATGAGCAATGTTATGCTGTATGTAACAAAACTCTCATAAGAACTTTAAAATACATATTTTGTTTTAGAGACAAGCTCTCTTTATGTTGCCCAGGCTGACCTTGAAACCCTGAGCTCAAGCGATCCTCCTGTCTCAGCCTCCCGAGCTGGGACTATAAGCACGTACCACACCTGGCTAGAACTTTTTACTTATTTCCGTATGTTCCATATCGATCTCTTAAGATCTGAAGCATTTTATTTTCCTTTTTCATTTCCTTGTTAAATAGTTTTCGAAAGCTAGCGCCTTGAAAAACATTGGGCAGGTTTTCAATATCACTAATTAGGGACATTCTGATTTTGCCTCATATAAAACACAGACTTTTTTTTTTTTTTTCCAGACAGTCTCACTCTATTGCCCAGGCAGGAGCGCAGTGGAGTGATCTCGGCTCACTGCAACCTCCACCTCCTGGGTTCAAGCGATTCTCCTGCCTCAGCCTCCCAAGTACCAGGAATAGTGAGATTACAGGTGTGTGCCACCACCCCCGGCTAATTTTTTTTTTTTTCCATACTTTTAGTAGAGACAGGGTTTTGCCATGATAGCTAGGCTGGTCTCGAATTCCTGGCCTCAAGTGACCCGCCCGCCTCAGCCTCCCAAAGTACTGGAATTACAGGCATGAGCCACCGCACCCAGCCACATTTTCATTTATATATATTTTCCTGCTCTGTGTTTAGAAGTTAAGAAGACTGATTGAAAATTAAATTTTTGAATAGATGATATATGTACATGGGATAAAATTCTAAAGGTAGAAATAATATATAGTGATAAATAAATCTCTTTTTTACCTATCCAGTTCCCCTTTCTAAAGGCAAAGTTTGTTACAGTTTTCTCTAATTCTTCCAGAGATTCTCCATGCAAATATGTATGAGTATGCATGTGCATGTGCGTGTGCGTGTGTGTGTGTGTGCATGTGTGTATTTTTTACTGTGGTAAAATATAGATAACCTAAAATTTATCATTTTAAGTACAGAATGCAGTGGCATTAACATTACTCTACAACCATCACCGCTATCCATTTTAGGCTTTTTCATCTTCCCAAACTGAAACTCTGTACCCATTTAACAATAATTCCATATCCCACCCTCTCGCAGCCTGTGGCAACCACCGTTCTGCTTTCTGTGTCTATGAGTTTCATTATCTTAGGTGCCTCATATATCAATGGAAGAGTACAATATTTGTCCTTCCTGTGCTTGCTTGGGCAGCACATATACTAAAATTGGAACGCTACAGAGATTAGCATGGCCCCTGCACGAGGATGACATGCAAATTTGTGAAGCATTCCATTTTTAAAATACAAACAAACAATATTTGTCTTGTGTCTGGTTTATTTCACGTAGCGTAATGTTCTCAGGGTTCATCCATCTTGTTGCATGCGTCAGAATTTTATTCCTTTTTTGAATAATATTCCATTGTATTTATATCCCACATTTTGTTCATCCATCTGTGTATTGATGGACATTTGGGTTGTTTTCATCTTCTGACTGTTGTGAATAATGCTGCTATGAATACTGGTGTATAGATATCTGTTCCAGTCTCTGCTTTTAATTCTTTTGGGTGCATATCCAGGAGTGGAATTGCTGGATCATGTGGTAGTTCTGTGTTTGATATTTGAGGAACCACTGTACTGTTTTCCACAGCGGCTGCGCCATGCTGCATTCCCACCAGCAATGCCCAGAGATTCTGTTTTCTCCACATCTTTGCCAGCACTTGTCATTTCTGTTGGTTTTTTGGAGGGGGGTGTTGTTGTTATTGTTGTTTCTCTAATAACCATCCTACTGGGTGTGAAATGGTATCTCACTGGGGCTTTGATTTGCATTTTCCTAATGATTAGTAATATTGAACATCTTTTCATGTACTTATTGGCCATTTGTACATCTTCTTTGGAGAAGTGTCTAGTCTTTGCCCATTTTTAAACCAGGTTGTTTTATTTTGTTGGTTTTTGAGTTGTAGGATATGTGTTTATTTTTAACGTGAATGGTATGATACTATATAAACCATTCTGCACTCTGCTTTTTTTACTTATCAATATATCTTGACTATTTATTAATATATAAAAATTGGCTGGGCGCAGTGGCTCAAACCTGTAATCCCAGCACTTTGGGAGGCCGAGGTGGGCAGATCACCTGAGGTCAGGAGTTCAAGACCACCCTGGCCAACATGGTGAAACCCCGTCTCTACTAAAAATACAAAAATTAGCCATGCATGATGGCGGGTGCCTGTAATCCCAGCTACTTGGGAGGCTGAGACAGGAGAATCGTTTGAACCCGGGAGACGGTGGTTGCAGTGAGCCGAGATTGTGCCACTGCACTCCAGCCTGTGCGGCTGAGCGAGACTCTTATCTCAAAAAAAAAAAATTATCCTTATTTCATTGTATGGATGAATCATAATATATTGAATTAATCTCCTTACTAATGGACGTTTAAGTTGTTTCCAGGCTTTTGCTATAATAGCTCATGCTGCAGAGAATATCTTAGCATGCATATCATCTCACAAAAGTGAGAACTTTTTCTCGGTAAATTATTGGAAATATGTCAAAGGGCTTGACAATTTTTGGTAGATGTTGCTATCTTGATGATAGAGTCTCTCATCTTGTGTGAGAGTACCAGTTTCTTCAGTCCTTCTGAAACAAGCTTTAATTATCAAGCATTGGGATTTTTTCCCAATCTAATATGTGAAAAATAGAAACTCAGTGTTAATTTTCTTTTTCTTTTCTTTTCTTTCTCTTTTTTTTTTTTTTGAGACAGAGTCTCGCTCTGTTGCCCAGGCTGGAGTGCAGTGGCACGATCTCAGCTCACTGCAACCTCTGCCTCCTGGGTTCATGCCATTCTCCTGTCTCAGCCTCCTGAGAAGCTGGGATCACAGGCTTGTGTCCACCTGGCTAATTTTTGTATTTTTAGTAGAGATGGGGGTTCACCATATTGGTCAGGCTGGTCTCGAACCCCTGACCTCAGGTGATCCACCCACCTTGGCCTCCCAAAGTGCTGGGATTACAGACGTGAGCCACCATGTCCAGCCTAATTTTCATTTTCTAAATTAGAACATCTTTCATATCTCTTAAAACTGTTTGTATTTCCTTTTGTTTGACCTGACAGTTTATGATTTTTCCCCATTTCTTCCCACTGAATTATTGATCTTTTTCTATATGAAAGGTCTCAGCCTTAGTCATGATGTGTCTGTCATCTATCTTTTCACTCTACTTTTACTTTCTGGCATGCAGATTTTTTTTTTTAATTTAGTCAAATTACACACCTTTGGAGTATGGATTTAATTTTTGGAAACAAACGAATGTCATTTCGAGTAGTTTTAGTAGAATAAATTTAGGTTCCCCTAAATAAAGCTAATTTGGTGGGGACAAAATACACCCACAAGGAGTGCCTCTAAGGTAAAGAAGATAATTTTTCCATGTAGCTGATAAATTTAATTTGAAAATGACTCTAATCTTATTCACAAACAAATCCAGTTTTTTTGTAATCTAATGGAATAAAAGTACACCACAAGTCCGTAGAGACAGTTGCTGGCTCTATCATGCATTTTCTATGTGTCACCCTCTTTTTATTTCATTTTCCTTATCTATAAAATTGAAATAAAAATGCCAGCACCACTTAAGCCACAAGAGTATAAGAATATCAAATAAAAAATATCAACTTACTTTTTTTAACACTCCATTCTAATCAATTTCAGAACAGGTTGATACTCAAGAATTTGGTGAGCTAAAATGAGATGGGGCCCAATCCTGGAATAAAAGTGCCAATCTTTCCCCTTTCCCAAGCCACACCCATCTGTCCTGTTCCTATGCTTCAATGCCTTTACAGTGCGACCTTATTTTTAGTATTCCAGACTATTCTGTGTGATATGGTTTCACTGTGTCCCCACCCAGATCTCATCTTGAATTGTCGCTGCCATTATCCCCACATGTTGTGGGAGGGACCCGGTAAGAGGTAATTGAATCATAGGGGCAGGTTTTTCCCATGCTGTTCTTGTGGTAGTGAATCAGATGATTTTATAAAGGGCAGCTCCCCTGCAGACGGTCTCTTTCCTGCCGCCATGTAAGATGTGCCTCTGCTCCTCCTTCGCCTTCCACCATGATTGTGAGGCCTCCCCAGCCATGTGGAACTGTGAATCCATGAAGCCTCTTTTTCTTTATAAATTACCCAGTCTCGGGTATTTCTTCATAGCAGTATTAGTGGTATGAGAATGGACTAGTACACTGTGTTTACTTTATACCTGCCCTATCTATAGGAGATTTTCCCTAATATTTTCTTAATCTTTAGACAAATTTTGCAGTCCAGCAGCACCAAGTATCCACTTGCTAATACAGTGAGTCTCTTTTTTCATTGCTTCCATCTTCAACTCAGTATAAGTCTCTGAGGCTCTTGGTATCCAATATTTATTTCTTTTACTGATAGGGAGACTTCAGCTTCGTTAGCAATTGGCAGGAACCTTGAGTGTACTAGGTCCTGTCTAAAATTCTGTAAGAAATAGTAACAATAACTTATTTGTAATGGATTAGAAATAACTTTTCCTAGGAGCACTGGAGGTACCATAAATATTACTTTTACTTCTTCACATATAGTGCTGTTTTGAAGAGATATTAAAATAACATTTCGCAATTCATGTTTATCAGGTAGTAGAAAGTGTGAGCAATGTGGAGAGATTGCATGGACAGTTCCCCCAAGACAGTTATTATCTGAGAAAGCTGGAAGCTACTCAGAGAGCTTTATAAAAACTGTTATCGATACTGGGTCTGCATTTGTGCAATGGAAAAACATGGAAGAGGAATGGGAATTGCTGGGTCCACACACCCCTCAATAAGAAATGAATTGTAAAAACAGGTTTATTCATGCAGTGATTGTTCACATGTATGAATGAAGTGAATGATGAACTAAGACTACATGTGTAACTTGGATAAATCTCAAAAAACAACGTTGAATTTAAAAAATTACAAAAGGACGGAAACATAGTACCATATATATACACTTTAAATACACAAAATAATAGTAAATATTGTTTATGAATACAAATATATGCATGGAAATGATAAGGATTATCCTCAGAATAGTGGTGTGATTGCATCTGAAGATGAAAGGAGAAGGGATGAGGAGTGGAATGTTAGCTGTTTCTGCAATGCTTTCTTGTCAGGAAAAAAATTCTGAAGAAAATGTGGCAAGATGTTAACATCTGTTAAATCTTGGTATTGGCTGTCGTATTTTCTCCTGTACTTTTCTCTGAAATACTGTACAACTACACATAAAAATAAATATTTTTAAAAGAGTGATTTATATCTTATCTCTTTACCATCTCACTTTGTAGTTGCTTTGTTAAAAATTGGTTTCTTATCATGGTCCTTTTGATGAACTGGGATTAAAGAAAAGAGTCAAAGAGAATTTTTTAAAGTCATTCCAAATTCTACTTCCTGAAATAATAATTTTTAATGTTAGACTACTATTATTCTAGAGCTCTTTCTATCCCTGTGTAATAAAATAAGTGGATAGAAGGGTGGGAAATTAATGAGAAAGGAAGAAGGAGGAAAGGAAAGGAAGGAAAAAGATATTGAAGAAAAAATCTAGGATATAATCTTCATGTGGGAAGGACTTACTTTAATTTTACTTGACTGGGACAAAAGAAAAAAAATTAAGTTGAAGAAATTGTGGAATCTCAAATGTTTGTTAGCCATAAGAGACGATATTTATTTTAAGTTCAGAAAAGATTTTGAGAAAAACATTAAGAGACTGTAGTCCTTGTGTGTTTTTTTAAACTATCTATTTCGAATATAAAAAGTGTCAGTTGATTCCTTGCTGTGAAAGATAAGGACATTAGCACTTCCAAAATTCTGTCTACGTTTTCTCTCCCAACCCCCAATTTATCTTAGGTATATTTTTATTTTTACACTGACAAGGTAGAATGTTCATACTTTGTTTAGTATTCACACATATTTTAGTAGTTTTGTATATTTGAATGAAATTACCACTAACCACATTTTCTCATTTTTTTCTCCATCCTTGAATTCTTTGATTTATTTTTGTGTGTTGATTCTCTTGTCAGTTTTTTTTTTTTTTTCAGGAAGTGCTCATGGATGTTTTTGAGACTGGGTCTCCGTCTGTCACCCAGGCAGGAATGCAGTGGTGCCATCACGGCTAACTGCAGCCTCGACCTCCTGGGCTCACACGATCCTCCTGCCTCAGCCTCCTGAGTAGCTGGGACCACAGGTACACGCTACCACACCCAGCTAAATTTTAGTTTTTGTAGAGACAGGGTCTCCCTATGTTGCCCAGGCTGGGCTTGAACTTCCGGGCTCAAGCAATCTGCCTGCTCAGCCTCCCAAAGTGTTGGGATTAGAGGCGTCAGCCACCATGCTGAGCCTCTTTTATCTTTTACATGTTTTTTTTGTGCTTGAATACTTTTTACTTGAATGACATCTTATAAATTTACACAATCATTTCTCATGGCTAAGAAGTGTTCCAATGTGTAACTATACTAGAATTTAACATATTTCCTAATTTTAGAAATGTAGGTTGTTTGTAATATGATGCTGCTGTAATTGTGACTGGGCTAGAATTATTAGTGTGGAACTTTTCAAAGATCTTATTTCTCTCCTGCACTGCCAAAAAATAAACCCTGGATGCCCAATTTATTTTATCTTTACCTTTTCTTAAAGAGGAATATTTTTTTTCTTGTTGGGAGAAGAGATATGTCAATCATTATAGTTACGTTCTGAGAGTGGGATGGTGTGCAGGATAAAGAAGAAACCCACTCTGACCGAGACTGGAAGAGGAGTTTGTTAAAGATGTGGGGGAAGTAAGATTTGAGAGAGAGGAGTGGAACTTGAGCAGTTACAGAATATGAAGGAGCAATCAGGAAAGGGGATTACAGCTTAAAAGTTTTTGAATAGATAATATGTTCACATGTTTAAATCCAAAGAGAATAAAATTCAAAGAAAAGTCCCTGTAACTCTTTTCCACCAGTCACCCAGTTCCCTCTAAAATATTGGCAACCAGAATACTAGTTTCTAGGGATCACTCCAGATTCTAGCCATACACAAGGAAATGCAGGTATATTATTTTCTTATACCCTGTTTTTACTGAAATGGTTACTTACTTTCATACTATGGTATGATTCCCATGGAGTGGGGTCATATCTGTGATGAAGCTTGCTTTTATGGCTTTTCTGTAGCGTTCGGGGATCTGGAATGGAGGTAGCTCTCCAGTTCAAGCTTAGGCTAAGTGGCATAAATGCCATAAGGGTTAATGTATTGGAGGACATCACAAAGGGCATGGGGTCGGTCCTAGATATCCCAGTAGGCTATGTTCCAGGCTTTACAGATGGGAGTTAATAGGAATGGCATTGTGACAAGAAAAATAACATTTGGATTCAGGCTTCCCTCTTCAGGGCCCATTACTGGCTGTTTTAATAAAGAAGGCCATTTCTGTATCTTTGGAGGCCAACTTTGGTTGACTGTGGATTACAGGTATCTGTCTGTTTTTGTTTTTGAGATGGAGCCTCACTCTGTCACCCAGGCTGGAGTGCAGTGGCCTGATCTCAGCTCACTGCAACCTCCACCTCCCCGGTTCAAGCAATTCTCTTGCCTCAGCCTCCCAAGTAGCTGGGATTACAGGCACCCGCCACCATGCTCAGCTAATTTTTGTGTTTTTAGTAGAGAAGGGGTTTCACTATGTTGGCCAGGCTGGTCTGGAACTCCTGACCTCAGGTCATCTGCCCATCTCAGCCCTCCCAAAGTGTTGGGATTACAGGTGTGAGCCACTGTGCCCAGCCCTGTTTTTTTTTTTGGAAAAGGAATCTCGCTCTGTCACCCGGACTGGAGTGCAATGATGTGACCTCAGCTCACTGCAACCTTCATCTCCTGGGTTCAAGTGATTCTCCTGCCTCAGCCTCCCAAGTAGCTGGCATTACAGGCAGGAGCCACCACGCCTGGCCAATTTTTGTATTTTTAGTAGAGATGGGGTTTCACCATGTTGGCCAGGCTGGTCTCGAACTCCTGGCCTCAAGTGATCCGCCTGCCTCAGCCTCCCAAAATGCTGGGATCACAAGCATGAGCCACTGTGCCCAGCCTATTGTTCTTATTGGACTGTCTTGATCAAGTGCAAATTTTGCTGTATGATTTCAAAAGTGGGGAGCCAGAGGCTGTCTGAGGATTGGTGGTTTCAGAGAGTGTACTTCCTGAGGCCTCTGGGTGTGTACCCTCTGTGGCTTCCAGATTCATTCGTCCTGCAGCCTCAACCTATTCTCCTTAACAGAGGAAATCTAATATTAGATTCACTCGAAAAGTGTGGAAGACTTAATGCAAATGCACCACAAAGAACAGCTCATGGTAGTTTCTTTATTAGCTTTGAAATATAGAATGGACACAAGCCAGAAAGTGTTACTGTGTATTCCTGTGGCCCCACACTTGTTTGGAAACGGGGCTCCTTTTTATCATTCTGTTGGTCATGCTCTGTCAGGTTGGATGGGACCAAATATTCTTTAAGTTTTCTCAGTTCGAGCAAGTTTCTTGTAAGGACGTATTTGGAAATAAGTATAAGTGATAGAAGGTGTTATAAGTAATCCAGAGAGGATTTAAAGTATATGGAAGGATGTGCTTAGGTTATATGCAAATACTATGCCATTTAATACAAGGAATTCATTTGTATAAGGAATAGCAAAAAGTCCCCTCAGCAGCATTCCAGCCTCTCAGTGTACTGGAAGGACATTTATTGCCATTAGGGTAACACAGGGGCTCTCGTATTTCAAGTCACTCTGGTGACTCCACATCACCTGGTAATCTAACATGCTGGTGATTCTACTCACCTGCTTTTATTTCTTCTTTTCCAGATTCTTCCTATTTTGCTCCCGACTGATTTGATCCTGCTGTGTGTCTCCTACTCCTTTGCGTCTACCTCCTCATGGGTTCAGATGCTTTGTGATTCTGCACCTGCCTTCTCTCTCTGTGCCGTTCCTCTTCCATCTCTCTTCCATCTGTATGTCTTGCTTTAAAACTCCCAAGGAAAAAAGAAGAAAAGTCGGCTTTGGTCATTTGTCAATATTCAGTAGTGTGTGCCTTTGTTGAGCAGAGCTCAACTGCATCAGCCCCTCTCTTGCACACCTATAGAGGGACGCCTTATTTTGGTTAAGTAGCCATCTCTGGTTCAAGTATCTGTGCCTAGGGAGGCAGGTCCAATGGTACAAAGCATAGCAACCTATACATTCAGAAACTCTGGGGAGGGAAGTGTGGATTTGGCAGAGACCTTACTGCTCATCTGATATAGTTACCCCAAATCCTAATGAGGTTGTTTGAGCCTAGTGTTAGGCCATTCCAACACAGTTTCTAGGCCAACAGTTGGAACTCTGTGGTAAACTCACCGGTTTATTACCATCCCCCTCCCTGGTAGTGCTAGTGATTCATGTCATGGTGGTCGGCTGTGGTGGAGATTGCATAGTCTAATTCTGTTTCCTCTCCTCCTGAGCACATAGCTATACTGTAATTCCCAGATTCTCTTGCAGATAGAGGGGAGCTGGGAATTATGGTCTAGCTAGACCATGTGACCTAGTTTTTACCAATGAAATGTGGATGGAGGTAATGGGTGCTACTTCTAGGCCCGGTCCATGGAAACCTCCCACGTGGGAGGTGCTTTTCCCTTTACAGCTTGATATATACAGTATAGTGACATTGGAAGCCATATGTTGAAAATTATGGAACCACAAGATGGAAGGAGCTGGGTCCCTGAATGAGTTGTCGGAGGAAAGCCATCCACCGATCAGGAAAATCCATTTTGGATTTTATGTGAGCCGTCTCCATGACTATTGTGTTAAGCCACTGGAGGCTGGAGTTTGTTACAGCAGTGGCTGTTATCCTCACATAGTGGCATTATTGATTTTGCTCCACAGGGACCCAAGGAAGGCTTTGGGCTCCTTAGGTATCTTGGTGAGCACTGTCCCAGGCGGAAGTTGGTTAACAGGATGGCCCCCTTCAGGGAGGGCTGATGGGGTATGGGAGAGCGACCATCGCTTTGCTACTCCTGATAAGCATGACATAAAGAATGTCTCTCTTTAAGCCTTCCTCCCCGAATCCCAAGCTGTGGATATCAATACATTTGTATAGATTCATGCGAGAGTTCCAGAGTATTCTGAAACTGCCTCTGAATTTATTTGCAGAAAGGTAGGGGTTAGTAACTAGTGATACCACTTTATGCACAGAGCAAGTAAACTCCATCTTTACCATGGCCAACTGTAGCAATAGAGTTCAGTGTTTTCTATATCACAGATAGAAGAAGTAACAAAACTTCATCCATTTCATCTTCATATATAGTAAGGCGAGGTGTCTGAGAGGCAGGGGTGAGAAAGACAAGACTGGCATGCATGGTATTGAAATGGCTGTGAAAGGGAGAAGATTTGCTTATAGTAGCAGGGCCCAGGTAGCATGGGAATTCATTACTTTTATCTTTAAAGGGGTTAGAAACAAGTGTTCAGAGGTGCCATGCAGTAATGAAACCAGTCCAGGAGCCAGGCTGTAAGTGCTGTAATTCAAGTAAGCTTTTGGTTAATTTAAAGGGATGGTAGTTACACCAGCTCCTAACCCATCGCCATCTTCTGTTTCATGTTTTTGATTACTGAGAAGTGACACTCAAATGTTTATTTTTTCTTAAAACTACTGAGTACATTTTGTAACAGCTCCAGTTTCTACTGAGAGCTCATTTATGCCATATTTCCTTTGCTCACATAACTCTAAGAGTACTTCTGTTTTTTACTGAAAGCTTGTATTTCTGTCTCTGCTAAGTTATAAACTTACTGATGACAAAATGTATTTATTATTTGAGTTCTGTAACGCATACAACATTGCCTTTTCTCTATATACAGTGTGATAATATTAGCTGGGGGTATGTAACTAGTTGTGTGGTGTTATTAGGAAATGAATCTGTAAAGGTGGGCTGGGGCCATTCAGTGAATGATCTTGTCTGTTGCTCTAGGATCCTGGATTTCATTGTGTAAGCAATACAAATCCATAAATGCTGAGAAGGGATAAGATGAGATTTGGGCTTTTAGAAAGAAAACCCTAGCCAGGTGTGGTGGTGCACGCCTGCTGTCCCAGCTACCCAGGAGGCTGAGACGGAAGATTGCTTGAGCTTGGGAGTTCGAGACCAGCCTGAGCAACATTTCAGGATTAAAAAAAAAAAAACAAAAACCCAAAAAAGAAAGCAAACTCTAGCTTTAGGATGGTAGATCCATTGGCGTGCGGACCAGAGCAGTAGTTCTTAATCCTGGGTGAGCTTCAGAGCGGCCTCACAGCACGGCTAGTCCGGTACTGCATGCGAAGGAGCAGCACAGAGCTGGCACACGGCGGGCTCTCCAACCCAACTGGACCTGGTGACCTTTATGAACCCGCAGCCCAAAGCCAGGCAGAATCAAGGAGGTCTCCACAGGTGCCGGTGTGGGTAGCTTATGGGCCTTAGCCACACCCTGGCAAGTAACTATCCCTTTTCATAACAAAGCTTTCCTGGGCACTTACCCTGCCAACTGTATTCTGCCGAGTTCTCCTCTCCCGGAGGCAGTGAGCATGGAATGCCCTTGTCTACGTTGGGAAAAGGATATAAAGGATTATGGATGAAATACCTTCTCCCACAAACGCCTTCTATATAAAACAAAACTAAAAAATTTCCACCCACTAAAACCCCTGGCTAAGGCCCTATGATTATCTTTCTCTTTACAGCTAAGAATCTTAAAAAAGAGTTTGCTCTTTATTGAGCACTCTGTTCCTTCTTCAACGTGCAATTTGTAATTTCACTTCTATCTCTCCGTCCCATCCTGTTCAAACTGTTTTTCCTGAGGTTGTTGTCTCTTACTTTATTTTTCATATGATTGTCTTTTGTTTTCTTTTCTTTTCTCTCTTCCTTTCCTTTCCTTTCTTTCTTTCTTTTTTCTTTTTTTTGACAGAGTCTCACTTGCCCAGGCTGGAGTGCAGTGGCGCAATCTCGGCTCACTGTAGCCTCTGCTTCCTGGGTTCAAGTGATTCTCCTGCCTCAGCCTCCCAAGTAGCTGGAATTACAGGCGTGCACCACCATGCCCGGCTAATTTTTTATTTTTAGTAGAGATGGGGTTTCACCATGTTGGCCAGGCCGGTCTTGAATTCCTGACCTCAAATGACCCACCTGCCTCAGCCTCCCAAAGTGCTGGGATTACAGGCATGAGCCACCACAGCCGGCATCTTTTGTTTTCATCCAACACCTCTGACTCTTTTTTCTCAGCCTCTGCTTTGGGACGATTATCTTTCTATCTGGACTATTAATGTCTGCTAGAGTTTCATCTCCATCCTTCTTTTCATTTACACCCTTTCTGGGAAATCTCTTCCATACCTAAATCTGTATCTTAACCTGGAAAACATTTTTAAAGTCTATATAAAAAAAGCCCTTCTTAGTTCAAAGGTAAAATTTTAGGAAAATTAAATTGAAAACTTATAAGAAAATAACAATAATGGAAACTAGATTTGAAAACAGAAATGACAGGATGGGCGCAGTGGCTCATGCCTGTAATCCCAGCATTTTGGGAGGCCAAGGCAGGCGAATCTTTTGAGGTCAGGAGTTCAAGACCAGCCTGGCCAACATGGCGAAACCCTGTCTCTAATAAAAATACCAAAATTAGCCAGGCATGGTGGCATGCACCTGTAATCCCATCTACTTGGGAGGCTGAGGCAGGAGAATTGCTTGAACCTAGGAGGCAGAGGTTGCAGTGAGCCATCATTGTGCCATTCCACTCCAGCCTGGGTAACAGAATGAGACTCCATCTCAAAAAAAAAAAAAAAAAAAAAAAAAAAGAAAAGAAAATGGAAATGATGTTAGAATCTATGAGATACAACCAAATTAAGACTCATTAAATGCCTATATAAAGAAAAATGAAAGCATGAAGAAAATGAACAGAACATCCAACTCAAAAAAGCTAGGGAAAATAGGTAAACTGAAAGAAAGCAGAAAGGAGAAATTAATGAAGATAAAAACAGAATTAATGGGGTTGGGAAACAGTGTAACAGTAGGAACCAATAAATGAAAGTTTTTTTTTTTTTTTTGCAAAAGTTTAATAGAAAGATAAATCACTAGCAGTGTCTTATTTGGGAAAGGACAAATGCAAGATAACTTGGGAGACAGAATGATTAAAACATAGGAAAATTTCAAATCTAATGAGAGTCATTTGTACAACTCTATACAAGTGAATTTGAACACCTAGCTAAAATGGTCAACTTTCTAGTAAAATACAATTTGCCAGAACCAGTCCTAGTCATATGTATATAGATTGGAAGAGTTAATATTGTTATGATTGCAATACTCCCCAAATTGATTAACAGATTCATTGCAATCTCTATCAAAATCCTGGTTGCCTTTTTTTTTTTTTAAACAAATTGACAGTTAATTCTAAAATTCATATAGAAATGTAAGGGACCTAGAATAGCCAAAACAATCTTGAAAAAGGATAACAAAGTTGGACTCCCATTTCCCGATCTCAAAATTTACTGAAAAGCTACAGTAATTAAGACTGTGATACTGGCATGATGATGTAAGGCTAGACACATGCATCAGTGGAATAGAATTGAGTCTGGAAATAAACCCTTACACTTATGGTCAATTGATCTTCAATAAAGGCGGCAAGACAATTCGATAGAAAAAAGAATAGTCTTTACAACACATGATGCTAGGATGACTGAATATCCACATGCAAATGAATGAAGTTGGACCCTACCACACACCATATATGAAAATTAACTCAAAATGGATAAAAGGGCTGGGCACAGTGGCTCACGCCTGTAATTCCAGCACTTTGGGAGGCCAAGGCAGGCAGATCACCTGAGGTCAGGAGTTCAAGACCAGCCTGGCCAACGTGGTGAAACCCCATTTCTACTAAACATACAAAAATTAGCTGGGCACGGTGGTACACACCTGTAATCCCAGCTACTTGGGAGGCTGAGGCAGGAGAATCGCTGGAACCTGGAAGGCGGGGGTTGCAGTGAGCCGAGATCACACCACTGCACTCCAGTCTGGGCAACAGAGCGAGACTCTGTCTCAAAAAAAAAAAAAAAGAAGAAGAAGAAGAAGATAAAAGATCTCAATAAAGAGCTAAAATCGTAAGACCCTTAGAAGAAAACATTGATGTGAATGTTTGTGACTTTGGATTAGGCAGTGGTTTCTTAGCTATGATACCTAAAACAAGCAACCCAAGACAAAAATAGATAAATTGAATTTCACCAAAATTAAAAACTTTGTGCTTCAAAGGACACTGTCAGGAAGATAAAGAGACAAGCCACAGAGTGGGAGAAAATATTTGCAAATCATATATCTGATAAGGGGTCTAGTACCTGTAATATATAAAAAACTGACAACAATAAAAAGACAACCCAATTAAAATGTGGACAAAGTATTTGAATAGACATTTCTCCAAGGAAGATTATTTAATGGCCAAAACATCACATGAAAATATGCTAAGCATCATTAGTCATCAGGGAAATGCAAATCAAAACCATAGTGAAATACTACTTTAGATCCACTAGGATGGCTGTAATTTTAAAAATGAAAGATAGCAAATGTTGGTGGAAATATAAAATGGTGCAGCCACTTTAGAAAACAGTTTAGTAGTTCTTGGGAAAGTTAAATGTAGAGTTACCATATGACCCAGCAAATTCATTCCTAGGCGTATACTGACGAGAAATGAAAAAATATGTCCATACAAAAACCTGTGGATGAATGATCATAGTAGCATTATTTATACTAGCCAAAAAATAGAAACAACTCATGTCAATCAGGTGATGAATGGATAAATGAAACGTGATGTATTTATAAAATAGAATATTGTTCAGCTATAAAAGGAATGAAGTACTGATGTGTGTTACAACGCGGATGAACCTAGGAAACATTCTGCTAAGTGAAAGAAGCTGGACACAGAAGGCCACATGTGTATGACATTTATATGAAATGTCTAGAGCAGGCAAATCTGTAGACACACAGATCAGTGGTTGTGAGGAGGTAAGGGGAGGGAGGGATGGACGTAGCTGCTAACAGGTATGGGGATTCTTTATGGGGTGATTAAAATGTTCTGGGATTAGATGGTGGTGATGGTAGCTCAACCTTGTGAATATACTAAAGCCACTGGATTACACACTTAAAAAATCAATTGATGAAAAAGCAAAACAAACTGATCTCACAAAGATAGAAACTCTAAACACACCAATTTACATAGAATCATTAGGCAAGTTTTCAGAGTTCTCTCACCAAAAGGCTTCAATCCAGATAGTTTCACAGGATAATTCTATCAAAGAAGAACATTTTAGCTCTAGTGCTACTTCATCTCTTTCAGAGAATACAAAGTAAGTATAATGTTGACACCAAAAACTTAAAAAAGACTGCATTAAAAAATCTTACAAAACAATCTTATGAATATCTGTACAAAAATTGTAGATAAAATGTTAGCAACAAAATTCAGTGGCACACATAAGCAAATGGAGTTTATTCCAGAAATGTAAAAATAGTTCTGTGTTGGGAAGTTTATTAATGTAATTCATCATATAAACAGATCTGTGAAGAAAAATCATAGGATCATCTCTATAGAGGCATTTGACAGAATTCACACATTCATAATTTTGAAGACTCGATAAAGTAGAAATTAAGGACATGATTTCTTAGCATAAAATATGTGTGTTTCAGCCCAAAATCTAGTTTCTTACTTAATAAAGAAGGCACAAACAGCATTTTCATTAATGTCAGGAATAAGATAAAGATATCCGCATTTGCTGTTATTATTTAGTATTGACTAGAGGTATTAAGCAATATAATTATATAGGTGATAACAGACACGTAAGTATTTGACGTTAAATGGTAGAAGGTAGAAAAGATAGAAGAAAGAACTATCTTTATTCACAGATATATGATTAAATATCTGGAAACCTCAAGAAAATAAATGGAAAAACTACAAAGAAAAATAATATTTGCTAAAGTATAGTAGGGAATAAAATTAATACATAGAAATCAAGAGCGTTCACCTATACAAACAATGCCCAGTTGGATGATATAATGGAAAATAAGACTCATTTACAATAGCAACAAAAAAGCTAAAATTTATAGACAAAAATATAACAAAAACCATATAAATGCTACATAATTCAGATAACTTGAAATATATAAAAATAGATGAACAAATAGACATACCATGTTGTTGGATAAGAGGACTTGAAATTATAAAGATGCCAAATAATTCTAAATTAACTTATTAAGTTAACACAGTCTCAATTAAAATATCACCAGATCTTTTCTGGACCTAGATAAGTGAATTTTAATTTTCATATGAGAAATAAGTTAGCAAGAATAGGCAAGAAAACTCTGATAAAGAGTAAGGTGGCCCAGCGTGGTGGCTCACACCTGTAATCCCAGCACTTTGGGAGGCCGAGGCAAGCAGATCACGAGGTCAGGAGATCGAGACCACCCTGGCTAACATGGTGAAACCTTGTCTCTACGAAAAATACAAAAAATTAGCTGGGCATGGTGGCAGGCGCCTGTAGTCCCAGCTACTCAGGAGGCTGAGGCAGGAGAAAGGCATGAACCTGGGAGGCGGAGCTTGCAGTGAGCTGAGACCGTGCCACTGCACTCCAGCCTGGGTGACAGAGTGAGACTCCGTCTCAAAAAAAAAAGTAGGGTGGTGAGTTTAGCTTTGTTTGATATTAAAACATACTACAAATCCTCTATTGTTAAAACAGTATGGCATAATGGATCAATGAAATAGAAAATCCAGAAATTGTTCCAAGTGCATATGGAAAGTTAATATAGGATATAAATAGCATCTCTGATGTGTGAGGAAAACATAGATTTAACTGGATAGCTATTTAGAAAAATATAAAATTGGGTCTGTACTTCATGCTGTATAGTAAGATAAAGTTTGTGTGCAACAAGTATCTAGGTTTAAAACAAAACCTTGTTAAGTATTTAAAAATATGAATGAATTCCATTATAAACTTGGAGTAGGAAAAATAACTCAAAACAAAAGCCAGAAGTAGAAAGATTTTAAAATTTAATAAAATTTTACATAATAAAATTTCAAGCCAAAAAAGAATTATAAAATCAAGAGATAAATAACACCTTGAGAAAAATCTTACATTGTAAATGGCTAATATCCCTGATATTGTGTAAAAGTGGTAACTCTTTTAAAAATATTTGATTAACCAGAAATTTCCATTTCTTGACCACAGAGAAAAAAGGAATCTAGTATGCCATTATTTTGAAATTTAATCTTTTCAGTGCACCCCCTTATTTACTGCATTATTCACAATAGCCAATATAGGGAATTAACCTAAGTGTCCAAACGAATGAATGGATAAGGAAAATGTGATATGTTTACACAGTGAAATACTATCCAGTATTTTAAAAAACATTTTATTTTGAAATAATTTTAGAGTTATATAAATGCAAAAACATAGTACCCAGGATGGGCAACATAATGAAACCTTGTCTCTACAAAAAAAAAAAAAAAAAAAAAAAAAAAAAAAAAGCCAAGTGTGGTGGCACAGTGCTTCCAGCTGCTCAGGAGGTTGAGGTGGTTGGATTGCTTGAACCCAGGAGCTCGAGGCTGCAGTGAGCTATGATGGCATCACTGCACTTCAGAGTGCAACAGAGTGAGACGCTGCCTCTTAAAAAAAAAAAAAAAGAGTTTGTGTATCCTTCACCCCATTCACATCTTACATAACTACACTACAATGATCAAAACCAATAAATTAACGTTGGTTCAGTACCATCAACTGAACTAGAGATGTACTGGAGTTTCACCAATTTCCCACGAATTCCCTCCTCTCTCCCAGGATCCGTGCAGAACGCTGTCCTGCGCTGTTGTCTTGTCTCTTTAGCCCTCCAGTCTGTGACAGTTCCTCTTTCATCACCTTGATACTTTTGAAAAATCCTGCTGAATTCTTTTTTAGAATGTCCCTCAGTTTGGGTTTGCCAGATATTTTCCTGTGATTAGATTGAGCCAGTATATTTTTGGCGAGAATACTACACACAAGTGAGTTTGTGCCCTTCTCAGAGCATCATGTCAGGGAATACATGATGTTGCTCTGCTTTAGTACTGATGATGTTAACCTTAATTGCTTGCTTAAGATAGTGTCTGCCAGGTTTCCCCACAGCAAAGTTATGAATTTTCCTTTTGTATTTGGTAAATACCTTGGAGGAGATACTTTAAGACTGTGCAAATATTGATTCCCCTCAAACTCTGGCCCACAAGTAGCATCCGTTGGTCAATCTTGCCTGTGAATGTTATTACTGTGGTTTTTGCCAAGCGGCGTTTTGGTGTTATTTTTAAAAAGGAAATTCCAGGACAGTGGGCTTGTTCTCATTTTGTTGGGCAGTCGGCAGCCATTGGGCAATGTGGAATTTAGAATTACTTAGGCCTTTCCCAACACAGAAAAATGCCATAGTCTATTAATTCAGTAAACATTTATGGAACCCTTGTTATGACCAAGGCCTCTTGGTGAAATATGCAGACAGCATAGGATCTGGTCTGCACCTGAGTCTTTTTCTCTGCCACTACTTTTCACCTTGAATCACACTCGCCATCAAGATTTGTTCTAAGATGTTATTGCAAAAAGTGCTGAGAGACAAGTCCAGGAGTCAGAGGATAGGACCAATTTCCAATTTTGCCCCAGACTAGCTACGTTACTAGCAGGGCGAGTCAGATATCGTCTCAAAGTTCTAGTCTCCTTATTTTTAAAATAGGGAATATAATATAGATTGACATTAGAATTAAATGAGTGGATATATATGAAAGTACTGTTTAAGTGAAAGGCATTTTTCAAGCTATAAAGTGTTCTACAAATTAATTATTGTCTGGGCACGGTGGCTCATGCCTGTAATCCCAGCACTTTGGGAGGTTGAGGCGGGAGGATCGATTGAGCCCATGAGTTCAGGACCAGCCTGGCCAACATAGTGAGGCCCTGTCTATAAAAAACAAACACACAAACATGAATTACTCAACAAATATTTGATTTCTTATTAAGTGTGAGCTTTTTCTAGGTGTTAGAATATAGCAATGAAAGCCAAAGCCTCTGCCCTCCAGGAACTTATATTTTAGAGGAAAAAGGTGGATAATAGAAAAGTAAACAAGTAATAAATACAATTTCAAATAGTAATAAATGCTACACTGTAAATAAAACAGGATGATGTAACAAAATGTGCTATAAAGAAAATAAAGTAGGATAATACATTAGAGAATTGGGGTGTGTTTAGGTGGGATGGAATAGTTTAGACGTTCTGGTCAGGGAGTGCGTCTCTGGAAGTAATTTTCGAGATAAGAACTTTAAGATTAGGAGTCAGCTGTGTGAAGCAGGGGAGAGCAAATATAAAGGCCCTTTGAAGGGGAAAGGATTAGGATGCTGGAGAAAAGCAAAGAGGATAGTGTACCTGTGAGGTCGCTAGAGAGTGGTGTAAGATCAAGCCAAAAACGTTGGCAGGGCCAAATGACGTAGAGCATTACATGCTGTGAAAAAGAAGTTTCTCGGTGCAGTTGATCAGGAAGAAGTTGACCAGAAAGCCATTGAAGGGTTTTAAGCAGGGCATTACATGTTATGATTTTCATTTTAAAAAGATTGTTCTGGCTGCTGTGAGAATGGATTGAGATGGCCATCAAGAGCAGAAGCAGAATGACAGCCTGTGGTCTATTGCAGTGGTGCAGGCAAGAGGGAATGGTGGCCAGGCAAGCTTGGTGGTGGCAGTAAGTTGTAAGATGTCATTATTGTTATTGTTATGGGCTGAATTACGTCCCCTCCAAATTCGTGTTTTAAAGTCTTAACCTCCAGTATACCTCAGAATGAAACCTTAGTTGGAGATAAGGTCTTTAAAGAGGTGATTAAGTTAAAAAGCCCAAACAAAAGGGAGGTGATTAAGTTAAAATGAGGCCATTGGGGTGGGCCCTAATCCAATCTGACTTGTGTCCTCCTAAGAAGAGGAAGTTTGGACACCCAGAGAGACAGTGGGATGCTCGCGCACAGAGGGGTGACCAGGTGAGGGCACAGGGAGAAAAAGTGGCGCCTACAAATTGAGGAAGGCCCCAGAAGCAGCCGACCTGCTGACACCTTTATCTGGGACCTCTGGCCTCCGGAACCGAGAAAATCAATTTCTGTGGTTTAAGTCACACAGTCTATGGTAATTTGTTATGGCAGCCCTAGCAAACTGATAGAGCTATGACAATCATGGGTATGGTGCTGATCTCTTCATTGTATTTATCACTACCTAAAATTCGCTTAGATTTATTTATGTTTACTCTTTCACTCCCTTGATTGTAAGTTCCATTACAGCAGGGATTTTGTCTAATTCATAGTAATCGCAATGCTGCGGAGTGCCTGCGCCATGGCACATGAAAAGTGACCGTGTGGTTAAATTGTTTCTCAGTCACTCTGTAATATCCAGTATTTTGTAGAGCTTTTGTTTTTAATGATATACAGGAGATCCAGAGTTTTTTAGGGGGCTACAAACTCTAGCACATAGGACTATATAAGAAATAACACTGCAGCAAGTTAGAACCAGGTGTTCAGGAAGCATATCTTAGCAGTGGAGACACGATCTCTTGATTAGAGGGACCTTGGATAAAAGAGGCCTTTTTTGAACAGAATAGCTCTGCTGAAGAAAGAGATTTCGTCATTATTTTACCTTCATTTCATGGCTTTTCCAAAATAAGGTACATGTGTGAAAAATGCCCTCCGTAAGGGCGAGGTCTTTATTTTGTTCTCTGCTGTTCTGTAAACGATACCAGCACATCATAGGGTTCAAATATTTGTTAAATGAATGAAAACATTTTCAGATCCTGCTTTGTCCTTAGACATTTTTGGATTGCTTTAAATGTTCTCTTATCCTTAGCATAATATTAGCTATTTAATAGAGCAGGTAAAATGTTTTGCCTATTTTTTTTTGTCTCTTATAATTGTGTGAAATATTCTGAATCTGGTCTTCACTTTGGTGTTTTTGACCTTAGGCTGCCCTTAAACTGAAGTCACAGCCTAGCTCAATGGCACTGGCTCCCCCTTGTGTCAGGAACTTGATACTACACCCACTAAATGCCAGCCTGCCAAGAACCAAGCTTCCCCGGGTCAAACATTTTAAGTGGTCCAAATGCTATACATAATTAAATGATGACACCACGATTGGGCCACCTTATTGGGGCTCATTTGCTCCAAATAGTCTTACTCCTATGCCCACTACTATATATATAGCACAGGTACAGAAAAACATTTTTAATACTTGTAACCATAAAGGCTTTTGGAGTTAGTTTGTACTTCTTATCAATATAAGACATCTACGTTGACAAAAGAAATCGAATGTTGACTGAGTGCGGTGGCTCACGCCTGCAATACCAGCACTTTGGGAGACCTAGGCGGGCGGATCACTTGAAGTCAGGAGTTTGAGATCAGCCTGGCCAGCATGGTGAAACTCTGTCTCTACTAAAAACACAAAAAATTAGCTGGGCATGGTGGTGGGCACCTGTAATCCCAGCTACTTGGGAGGCTGAGGCAGGAGAATTGCTTGAACCTGGGAAGCGGAGGTTGCAGTGAGCCGAGATTATGCCACTGCACTCCAGCCTGGGCGACAGAGCGAGACTCTGTCTCAAAGGAAAAAAAAAAAGAAAGAAAGAAAAAGAAATCAAATGTCTCAGCATATTTTAAATACTTTATATGGAACAGTTGATTTTCACTTTCTTTCAAAAGCCTACCAAAATTGAGGAGTTAGCGTTTTTTTAATCCCATGAAATCGATTTAAAAGGAAGAAAATTATTTTTCAAAGGGACAACATTTTATTTTCAAGAGTAGTATTTGATTTCTGTTTTGTGTACATGGTAGAATACTGAGTGAGTTGCTCCTGGCCACTCTCGCTGTTGAGGAGATGAACCCGTGCAGGGACGGCCCCAGGAAGGCCTCTTTAGCTGTCTGAATGAAGTGATTTTGACTCTCAGCGTCAGTGGTGTGCTGGAGCCAGACCGTGCCGACTTATCCCAGCTCACAAGAGCTAATGGCTAAATTTCAGGAGTTCTGCAAACTATTGTTAAAGCTAGTTTATATTAGAAATAAATTATATAGACAATTCAGTTATATTAAAAAACAAGGGTGCTTTCTTCAGCAGCACTTATCTAAGATCAGAACAACATCGAGAAGATGAGCGTGGCACCTACACAGGCTGGCACACACATTTGTGAAGCGTTCCATATTTTTTCAGGTTATTCTGTATTAAATGCAAAATAAATGCTTTTATTAACAATGACAAAAAGAAAGGTAATTGTAATAAATACAATTTACCACTTCGTAATTACTTTATTATATTTTACTCATACTTTGAGGTTATTTGTGTCTAGTGTATGTGTGGTGGATGTACCATATAATGGTATGCTATTGTCATTTCTTCCAGACTCCACCTTTAGTGATTTCATGTTTGTAATTGGCAGCTTGAAATCGATCTTGGAACAATGGAAATAAAACCACAATGGAAATAAAAAAGGATCCAAATCAGGACTTTTTGCCTATGAGGAGCCAGTGATAACCAGCCCATTACTATATGCAAAACGAGTTTATATGTTTTTTCTCTACTCCAAAAACTTAACAAAAGAAGGAATTATTAAACTTTAAAAAACGATTTTAATTTTATTTTACTACATTGGTTTCAGTTTTTTATTTTATTTTATCATTTATTTATTTATTTTTGAGACGGAGTCTCACTCTGTCGCCCAGGCTGGATTTATTTATTTATTTATTTATTTATTTATTTATTTACTTTTTTTGAGACGGAGTCTCGTTCTGTTGCCCAGGCTGGAGTGCAGTGGCACCATCTCGGCTCTACCTCCCGGGTTCAAGGGATTCTCCTGCCTCAGCCTCCTTAGTAGGTGGGATTACAGGCGCCTGCCACCACGCCTGGCTATTTGTGTGTGTGTGTTTGTGTATTTTTAGTAGAGATGGCATTTCACCATGTTGGTCAGGCTGGTCTTGAACTCCTGACCTCAAGTGATCCACCTACCTCGGTACCCCCTCCCCCGACCCAGCCCCAACAAAGTGCTGGGATTACAGGTGTGAGCCACCATGGCTGGCTTGGTTTCAGTTTTTTAAATAGTTTTTTGAAAAGATAACTTCAATAATTTAAATTCTTTAATAATTTTAATAATGTTAAAAATGGTTTTAAAAGGTTGCTTTAATTTAATTGAATTTATTTATGTTGAGACAGAGTCTTGTTCTGTCACCCAGGCTGCCGTGTGATGGCAGCATCACAGAGCTCACTGCAGCTTCAACCTCACCTGCTCAAGTCATCCTCCCATCTCAGCCTCCAGGGTAGCTGGAACTACAGCCACACACCACCATGCCTGGCTAATTTTACATTTTTTTGTAGAAACAGGTTCTTACTGTATTGCTCAGGGTGGTCTTGAACTCCTGGACACAGGTGGTCCTCCCGCCTCAGCCTTCCACAGTGCTGGGATCACAGGTGTGAGCCACCTTGCCTTGTCACTGGTCGAGGGTTGTGACTGCAAGTTGTCCAGGTTCTTGGCATTTTGAACAAAGAATTGGACAAAATGCCCAGCAAAGCAAAGCAAAGTATGAAGCAACAAAAGAACAAAAGCAGGGATTCATTGAAAATGAAAGTACACTCCACAGTGTGGGAGTGGGCCAGAGCAGCAGCTCCAGGGTCCAGATGCAGAATCTTCTTGGGTCCAAATACCCGCTAGCAGTTTTCCATTGGCCACTTCACGTCCATCTCATGTAAATGAAGTGCTAGCCCACAGTCAGTCTGAATGGTTGCAGAAAGCAGCCAACCAGAGGCTGAAGTGAAGTTACAAAGGTCACACCCCTGTGCAAACAGGAGTTGGTTTTCGCAGCCAATCAGAGGCTAGGGTGAAGTTACAAAGTTATACCTCTGTGCAAACAGACTTGGCAGGCCATTAGTCTGACTGGTTGTGGACAGCAGCCATCGGTCTGACTGGTTGTGGACAGCAACCATTCAGAGGCCGGAGTGAACAAAGATGCAAACGAAGACTCAACCCGCAGTCAGTCTGGTTTGTTGCAGACAGCCAATTTCCCATCTGCCTACCAGAAAAGGTAGTGAGTTTGCAAAGGGAGTAGCCTCTGGTCCTTTTGTTACTTAGGCTGGAAAGTTAGGGTTTTCCTTTCAATTTAGTTCTAGGAAGTCAGTGTGAAATAGCCTTAGGATCCCTGCCTCCAGACCCTATTGCCCTGCCTCAGCCTGGCCTAAAAGCTTTACTTGAATCTTCAATCAATTCACTTAATTCAAAGTTTCATTTAGTAGAAATAGGTTAACCAACCTTAATATTATATATGATTTTATCAATTATGTTATATTTTTGTTTCATTTTCTAGTTCCTGTCTAATGTCTTGTTTTCTTATTTCTAAACTTCTTTCTTTTATTTTCATCATTAAGCTATGAATTTTTTTCCTATCTCCTGTAACTTTCTTTTCACTTATTTCAGTGTTTTTACATTTTTCTCTTCAGCTGTCTCCCTTTGCAGACAGACCTCGATCTCTTTCTCAGAATTAATGGCCTCATATTTTCCTGACCTGTGCTCCTTCTCGCTGTCTCTTTTATTCTTAGCTCACCTTTAGGATCCTCACTACTCCTGAGGCTGAACTGTTAGCAATACGGTTTCCTCCACTGTGGCCAGGATCCCAGCTCCATCCGGATACCATCTGGACATGTGCAGGGCTCACCTGGCCCCTTCTGCTGTTTTCCCATGTCTTTGGCACCAGAAATACGATGCGAGGATAGTGCATAGGATCATTCGGTCATTTTTGCCTCTAGCCCCGTATTTCAGAACATGGGAGGACAAGAGAAGCTCTGAGTCGTTTTTGCTTCTGCTGTAATTTGTTTTTATTCTCATCTCAAGGAATTTGGAAGTCCTTTTGAAATAAATGCATCTCATTTCATTATCATTTGAGGAAAGAGACATTTGAGAGGAAAGGGCGATTAATATTTAAACACCACCTCCCTTCCCCTACCTCATTTGCCCTTGTATTTTTTTCTTCTCACTCGCTCTCTTATATTGCCTTTACTGGGCAACTATGTCAACAAATTGCCACTGAAAGGCACCTGACTGGTGAGCTGCCTTGAGCTGAGGTCAGTGTGATCCTTCAGCTGGGAGCCGCTGCTCCGTTTTAGAGGGCGAGCCATTGCTACCGCTGATGAGCTGAGCCTGGGGCTCAACGAGTCCATCTGAAAAGCCATCTCTCTTCCAGCAGCAGGGAGCCACTCGCAGTGCTGCTTTCATCAGCCTTCGTGAAGGATGAAAAGGGCTTCGTCTTTTCCACACACACTTGACTCCAGCAGCGTGGGGGTTTGGAGCACTGATCTCCCCTACCGTTGAAAACCCACGTGTAACTTTTGACTCTCCCAAAACACAACTAACAGCCTGCTGTGGACTGAAAACCTTACTGATAACATAAATGTCAATTAACACATATTTTATATGTTATATGGATTATCTACTGTATTCTTACACTAAAGTAAACTAATGTTACTTTAATAAGAGAGAACATTAGGCCAGGCGCAGTGGCTCACGCCTGTAATCCTAGCACTTTGGGAGGCTAAGGCAGGTGGATCACTTGAGGCCAAGAGTTCAAGACCAGCCTGGCCAACATGGTAAAACCCCATCTCCACTAAAAATACAAAACTTAGCCAGGCGTGGTGGCGGGCGCCTGTAATTCCAGCTACTTAGGAGGCTGAGGCAGGAGAATCGCTTGAACCTGGGAGGTGGAGGTTGTAGAGAGCTGAGATGGTGCCACGGCACTCCAGCCTGGTCGAGAGAGCTAGACTCCATCTCCAAAAAAAAAAAAAAACGAAAAAGAAAATGTTATTAAGAAAATCATAAGGGGCTGGTGCAGTGGCTCATGCCTGCAATCCCAGCACTGGCACTTTGGAAGGCCAAAGCAGGTGGATCACTTGAGGTCAGGAGTTTGAGACTAGCTTGGCCAACATGGTGAAACCTCGTCTCTACTAAAAATAAAAAAATAAACTTAGTGGAACATGGTGACACGTACCTGTAATCTCTTATTTGAGAGGCTGCGGCAGGGGAATCGCTTGAACCCCAGAGGCGGAGGTTGCAGTGAGCTGAGATGGTGCCACTGCACTCCAGCCTGGGTGAGAGAGCTGGACTCTGTCTCAAAAAAAAAAAAAAAAAAAGGAAGAGAAAATATATTTACTCCTCCTTAAGAGGAGGTGGATCATCATAAAGGTCTTGATTATCATCTTCACATGGAGGAGGCTGAGGAGGAGGAGGAGGAGGAAGAGGGGTTGGTCTTGTTTCGAGTGGCAGAGGCAGGAGAAAATCCACATCTAAGTGGGCTTGTGTTGTTCACACCATGTTGTTGAAGGGTCCACTGTGCCTTTCTTTTACCTGCAAGGAATGGTAGGCTGATACACAGCCTCATCTCAACTTTTACTTCAGGAAACAATATTTTAGGTCTATCCAGGGTCTCCAAGTTTCTGAAGTACTGAGTGAAAATGTTGTAACTAATATATTTTGTTATGAAACTGAGGATTAAGACATCCTTCATAACCAGCTTCTGAAGCCAAAGTGATACAGATAGTATAACACCAGAGTAAATTGTTGTATAAGTAGTTTATGTATATGAGGCAGGGTTTCTGTTATCCTTTGTTATTACTGTGGTTTTGATGGATGAGAGTGAAATGTGCTTATCTTGTTTTTTTTTTAAATAAAATCTTTTTATTTAAAAAATTTCAAACTTCTAAACGGTAAGAGTGTTGCCCTGAACTCCTGCACACTTTTACTTAGATTCGCCAATCCCTCATGATCTGCCACATTTGTTTTTGCCTCCTCTTTCTCCTTCTCCCTCTCTCCCCCGTTTCTCTCTATATATGCACAAACACACATACCTATTTATACATTTTATTATTATTGTTATTTTCATCATCACCATTTTGCTAGACTATTTGAGAGTAAACTGTAAACATTGTAACCTTTCCCTGAAATGCTTCACTGTGGATCTTCTTTCTTTCTTTCTTTCTTTTTGGAGAAAGGTGTCTTGCTATATTGTCCAGGTGGGAAATGGACATGAACTCCTGGGCTCAAGTGGTCCTCCCACCCCAGTTTCCCAAGTAGCTGGGACTATAGGTGTGCACCGCTGGGGTCTTCCTTTCTTTCTTTTTCTTTTCTTTTTTTTTTTTTTTTTGAGACAGAGTCCCACTCCATCACCCAGATGGGAGTGCAGTAGCTCGATCTCGACTCACGCAACCTCCACCTCCCAGGTTCAAGTGATTCTCATGCCTCAGCCTCTCGAGTAGCTGGACTTACAGGTGTGTACCACTACAGCTGGCTAATTTTTGTATTTCTAGTAGAGACAAAGTTTTGCCATGTGGGCCAGGCTGGTCTCCAACTCCTGGCCTCAAGTGATCCACCCACCTCGGCCTCCCAGAGTGCTGGGATTACAGGCATGAGCCACCGTGCCCAGCCTCAGTGTAGGTCTTCTAAGACAAGAACATTCTCTTACATAAGCCACAGTGTCTGTGTGTGCTCTTAAAAATAACCTTAGAGTCAGATCACTTGGGTTAAGGTGTCATTTGGCTCATTCCTCTGCTTCTTGCAGGTGCATTTCTAAACAGTACAAAACTGATATTTTCTGGGAGTGATAGACCGAAATTCTTATGGGGGCCAGCCTGTGATATAAAAGTGAGAATCTGACAGAGTTCATACTGTACTCATGACATGTATGTATGCCCCACCTAAACAAATAAACACGCCAATCCTAGACTAAAAAAAAACTGTAATAAGAAAAAATCATCAACAACAACAACAACAAAAATACCCGATGGCCAAATTTGTCACTTGGGTCAACAATTTGCGGCCCTGGATCTACGGTCAAAGCTCCCGTGGGGTGGAATATCCACAGCTTTCTTTGGAAGCACTGTGGTATAGTTCAGAAGTTCTCCTTTAAGTCCAAGTGCTTGACTGAGATTTGTGAGAGGCAGCAGTCGCAGTGGCAGGTAGCATGAGAGCTAGGCTGTGTGTGTGAATCCCGTTTCCACCATTTGCTACCGGTGTGATCTTGGGAAAATGTCTTAACCTTTCTGTGGTTCACTTTTCCTCATCTGTAAAATAGTACCTTTCACACAAAGCTGTCATGAGGAAGAAGTGAGGAAGAATATTTAAAGCACCTTACACCAGAGTCTGGCACGCGTAATAAGTCACTGTAGAACTGGATTCTGCGAAGACGAACCTGATGGCTAGAGGCCATCACATCCATGCAGATCATGATCCTGGTATAAGGGGAGAGGGATGTGAGGACTGTTCCTCCTGGAAGACCTAGAGAAGATGTTCATTCTTGAGCCAGAAAGCTACTTAATCTACTTTTCTCCCATTGGGAGTGACTTTCTTTTGTTCTTATCCCCGTTGTCTTTTTTTTCTTTTTTCTTTTCCCTTTTTTTATTAGACGGATTTTCGCTCTTGTTAGTAGAGATGGGGTTTCACCATGCTGGCCAGGCTGGTCTCGAACTCCTGACCTCAGGTGATCTGCCCACCTTGGCTTCCCAAACTCCTGGGATAACAGGCGTGACCCACCGCGCCCAGCCCTCATCCCCGTTTTCTACTCATCCTTCTTGTCAGACTTCTCCCCAGCTCTCTCCTATATTTCCCTAGTGCTGAGGGGGTCACTGCTTGAATATTAACTCTACGTGATCCCTGACAAGTTATTTAATGTCTTTGAGCTTTAGTTTTCTATCTGTAAAGTGGGGACAATAATAGTACCTACCTCCTAGTTGTTGTGAGGGTTCAGTGAGTTAATGTAGGGATTACTGTGTCAGGACAGTCCCTGGCACACAGTAAGTGCTGTGGAACTCTCAGCTATTGGGTAGGATGTGCATCATTCTCTTTAATAGCCATATTCCTCCACGGTGTACTCTATACTTGTGATCTCAATTTTCTTTTTGCTGGCTCTTTTTTGGAGTTTTTTCTTCCTCTTTTTCTCCTCTGCAAGTGCTCTTATTGAGGTCAGTCCTCTTCTTTTTGTCCAGATCTAAGATTCTGCTTATTCTCTTAGCCTTCTGAAATATTTTATTTTTTTACTTTGAGACAGGGTTTCACTCTGTTGCCTAGGCTGGAGTGCAGTGCCACGATCTCGGTTCACTGCAGCCTCAACCTCCTGGGCTCAAGCAATCCTCCCCCAAGTAGCTGGGACTACAGGCATGCGCCACCATACCCCAATAATTTTTAAAAAATTTTTGGTAGAGATGGGGACTTGCCATGTTGTCCAGGCCACCTTCTGTAATACTTTAAACTGTAGCAACCTGGCCAGGCTCATGCCTGTAATCCCACTACTTTGGGAGGCTGAGGTAGGAGGATTGCTTGATCCCAGGAGTTCAAGACCAGCCTGGGCAACATAGCAAGACTCTGTCTCTATTAAGAAAAAAAAAAAATCAGCTGGGCATGATGGTGTGTACTTGTAGTCTCAGTTGCTCGGAAGGCTGAAGCAGGAGAATCGCTTGAGCCCAGGAGTTTGAGTATGTAGTGAGTGTGATCGTGCCACTTCTCCAGCCTGGGTAACAGAGCAGACCCCATCTCCTCAATCCCCCCCACCCAAAAGGAAGACAAAACCATCGATATTATTTTGCAGCCAGAAGCTTGGGGGTAGGGGACAGTAAGGAGGTTATTGGAGAAAGGGAAGTGGAGATGAGGAGGGAAGGGAGGGAGTGGGAGGGAGACACTGGCTGATTGGCTGAGCAGTGGAGAGCTACCGATGGCAGGATTCTGCAGCGCGGTGAGGCATGGGGTGGATGTTGCGAAATGAAGCTGGCGGTTACAAGATAAGCCATTTAGAAGAAGTGTTGTGATTAGTGAAAGGAAGCCGGGAAATAGAATAGAGTGGCGAAGCACCTATCAAGTTTTTTCAAGATAAGGAAGATACCTGAATATTTTAAGGCAAAAGAGGAAACAGCTAATAAAGAAAATAATGAAGATGCTGAGAGGGAGAGGTAATTGTGTGAAGAACAAGAGCTGAGTGTGGAAACGAAAAACTAAGAGGGAGATTTGCTTCTTTGAGGAGGAGCACTTTTTATTTCTCCAAGGCTACGAGCACGAGGCAAGAGCTATAGGACATTCCTCTAAAGTGGTACAAAGTCAGCGACTGTAAAGGTGACGTGAGGATTAATAATAGCACCCAGTGATCGTGCAGTTCACATCTGTTGAGTGCAGTGGGTGATAAGGACGTTTTCTGAGATGAAGGGAGGGAAGTGGGTGATAAGGACGTTTTCTGAGATGAAGGGAGGGAGTACTTTGGAGCTTGAGGCAAGAGATGCTGCAGAATAGCTGTTTTGAGGGAGTTTGCCAGGAAGTCAACAGACGACTGAGCGGATTGTTAGGCAACACCCAGGACAGATTTGATGTTGGATGGGGGTGAATTTGTCATAGGCCACGCTTTTTTATTTTATTATTTATTGCAGCAGTGCTTTGCAGGAACAAAGAAAGTGAAAATTGAGATGTTCAGGATTATGGACTAACAGCAGGCAGGATGGAGGGTGAAGGGCCCAGAGTTCAGGGTGGTGACAGTGGCCATTTTGAGTGGCTGAGTGTAGAGGACTGAGCAGCCGTGTGTAGATTAACTGCCAAGCACAGCTGCGTGAGTGAGCCTAGGCCAAGCTAGCGGAGGAACCACGCAGCCAACCCGCAGGATGGCGGAAAAGAATAAGCCGTGGTTGATTCCATCACTCTGTGGCGGGCAGCTTGTTACACAGCAGTAGAAGATGCATGCCATGCCTTGTGTTGACTGCGCACAGCAGGGAGCCTGAGGCAAGGGAGCCTGGCACAGAAGCAGAGGTCAGTCGGCTGGAGAAGCTGGGCAGGTGGAGAAGAATAGAGGGGGCCTCTGGGGAGCACCCAGAAATACCCAGCAGCTCTGGAGAAGTGCAGGTTTTAGAATGTGAGAGTGAGAAGGAGGCTTGCCATCTTGAGAGATACACACCTGGTGGCAAGTTGTGGTGACGGTAAGTGCTGGAGGGAGCGCAGCCACAGCTCAGACTGTCTCTTTTCTTCCGTGCCATTCACTCTCAGCAGAGGACCTTGCCTTGTACTACACAGAGGACAGAGAAGTCTTTTTATGTGAGTTTCTTCATCATCCCATTTCCAAAGACAAACTAGGGATACAGATATGAATTGTATGATAAAACTTGAGATAACAGATAAGTCACATTACTTTTCTAAGTCTGATTAAATCTTGTGCCCCTACTTGTCAAGACCAATAAAAAGTTAGTAGTTTTCGTGGCTTCTTTTTGGCTCTTATATTGTACAGTAAGTCTTCTCTTAACCTTTCAATCAGTTGTTGGAAACTGCGACTTTAAATGAAATGATGTACAGCAAGTCTTTGAATAATGTTGTTACAAAGTTGATGAGAAAAAAAAATGGTTTTGTTATATGTCCTTTTGCTTACGGTTGTAGTTTCCAAGAACCCATCAATGATACTCAGAGAAGACTTGCTGTTCTGGGACTCCAAGGCTTAGTGCAGTCTCTGGGGGAAACTGGAGAGAGGAAAAGCATTGTGCTCATGAGCTGTCTAGGCCTGAGACAGGGACAGCATCCGTGTCGTCTGCACCAGGCTCAGCCACAGGGAGCCTTAGCACAGCTTCCAGGGCCCCAGAGCTCAATGGAGAGATTAGCTTTCCATAAGAGGAAGGAACCTCATCCAGTGCAGTAGAGGAAAAGAGAAGAACATAGGTGAGATATAGGTGGGCTAGTGGAGCAGTTTGTAGGTGTACAGGGAGAGTTCTTGAGGAAGCCGTGGTATTGTTCTTCAGGCCACTGTGGCCTCATCAGCAAAAGAATCTTTGCCTTTTTTTCTTATATCATCAGGCCTTTGTGATTCGAGACTAGAGAGAAAGAAGTTGCTTAATGCCTGCAAGATGTCAATCACGTGGGCTTTGTTTTCTGGGGTCTACCCGGGCAGGTGAGACCATAGCAGATTCGCTCAGCAGAGAAGAGGATGGTGATGGGTTCCTCAAGGGGATGTGAAAGAGGGAGAGGGAAATTTCCTATGATAGGGAAGAACTTGCCATTCTCTCACATGTAGCACCTTGCAGGCGGCAGGACCTAGGATGGGGGTGGCTGGAAGAACACTGAGCGCTAAGTGCCTGGCCAAGGCCCTCCCACCCTCTCAGGAAACCCACCCACCCAGTGAACAACGCCCGCATCAGCCTTCTTTGCACGGGCTCTTTCCCAGTAGCATTAAAATATGCTCACATCATTCAGGTCTTCAGTATCAAAAAAGAAAAAACATCCTCTTTAACACCATGTTCCTCTCCAGACACCCCTTCCCTCCCCTTTACTTCTGTTTGTTTTTTGGGGTTTTTGTTTGTTTGTTTTTTGATGTGGGGGTCTGTGTATGTTGCCCACGCTGGAGTGCCAAGTCAGTGTCTGTTCACATCACGATCTCTGCTCACTGCAACCTTCGCCCCCACTTCCTCTGGGCTCAAGTGATCCTCACGCCTCAGCCTCATGAGTAGCTGGGACTACCGGCATCTGTCACCATGCCTGACTTCTCCCTTTCACTTCTTAGATCCTCCTTGACCCACTGCAATCTAATTTCTCCTCCACCTTCAACGGAGAGTGCCCTTGTCAAAATCATAGCTGATCTCCTTTTTTACTAACTCCAGTGGCTGTTTCTCAGAATTTACCTCCCTCGACCTCTCAGCAGCATCGGAAAGCCAAGGATGACTTTCCATTTTTTTTCTCCTTAGCCTCCACGCCCCGGCCCTCTCCTGGATGTTCACTTCCCTCTCTGGCTGCTCTGCTCCATCTCTCATGCGGGTTCCTCTTTCTTGGATCGTTCCTTGAATGTGGGTACTCCTCAGACCTCTTCCTTCTCTTTCCCAGCCAATACATTCTACGTAGAGGAGCTCTTCTGCTCCTGTGGCTTCATGACCGGATCCACGTCTCCAGCCAGATCCTTCTCCTGCACTTCGCACTCTTATGAGTATCAAGTCTGTGGTTTGATTTTACCCCACTTGTAAGCTAGCAAGTTAGCTTGTTACTGTCTCATGGATGTTGGCACAAGACTTGAGACTCCTGAGTCAGTGACAAAGGACTTCATTCCTCTTGGCACAGCAGGCAACATGAGCATCAGCTTGTGGGTGACAGTTACTCCTGCCCTCACCTTTTCCTGGTGATGGGCCCAGCTGGATGCCTGCACAGGAAATGGGTGGCATCACAGAAAGGGAACAGAGCTTTCAGAACAGAGAATTTCAGGGAACAGAACAGGGGATATCTACTGCTTTTATAGCAAGCAGGAAGCAAGCCTGCTCTTTGGCCTGGAGGGAGACATTATGTCATCTCTCGAGGCTGCTCACTGCGGCATAGCCCTGAGAGATGGTCAGGGTTTTCATGGCATAACCAGCAAGAACAAGCATGTTGGAAATTCAACATGTCCCAGATTGAACTCTTCATTTCCCTTCACCTAAACTTTTTTACTTCCTTTTTAAAAATTTATTTTTATTTATTTTGCACATTTATTGGTATTTCTTTTAGAGACACGATCTCACTCTGTCACCCAGGCTGGAGTACAATTGCAGGATCATAGTCCACTGCAGCCTTGAACTCCTCGGCTCAACCGATCCTGCCATCTCTGTCTCCTGAGTAGCTGGGACTACAGGCACGTGCCACCACACTCGACTAATTTTTAAAATTTTTTGTAGACATGGCAGTCTTGCTGTGTTGCCCAGGCTGGTCTTGAAATCCTGGCCTCAAGTGATCCTCCCACCCACAGCCTCCCAGAGTGCTGGGATTACAGATGTGAGCCACCGCGCCTGGCCTGTTTCTCCTTCTATTTTCTGAACTCAGTGATTGATGCAGTCCTCGATATTTGTAACTCATTACCAACTGATAAGAAATTCTTAACTCTTTTGACTTTCCTCTCCCTCATGAAGTCTGATGACTCCTTCGAACTCTCTCTTAGGTTTATTTGCTCTTCTTGCCGCTCGCTGCCTATCCCTGGGTCAGACTGTGCTTCTCTTATGTGTTTAAGACAATTACAGCCTTTTATCATCCAGCTAGAATATTCATTTTATGAAGTTGTAAGTTGTTTTATTACGAAATGTTTTTAGAGACAGGGTCTTGCTGTGCTGCCCAGGTGGAGTGCAGTGGCCATTTACAGGTGTGTAATAGCTCACTGCAGCCTTGAACCCCTGGCCTCCAGCCGTCCTCCTGCCCCAGCCTTCCTAGTAGCTGAGACTAAGTTACTTAATTTAAAATGTATGTATTCATTTGTTTGTAATTCAAAAGATTCAAAAGGTAGATGCTGAAAAGACTTCCTCCAGCCTTTGCCCCTGCCACCTGCTCTCCTCCAAGGCATTCTCCACCCTCCAGTTAATGTTACCAGCTCCTCCTGTATCCTGTTAATACTGTACCCAAGGTAGACATTTTATACTCAGGTTACTCAAGTACCGTATGTGAGATTGTGACACAAATTTCCATACCTTACATTTGCTTAATACTTTTTTTTTTGAGACAGATTCTCACTCTGTTGCCCAGGCTGGAGAGCAGTGGTGCCATCTCAGCTCACTGCAACCTCCGCCTCCTGCGTTCAAGCGATTCTCCTGCCTCAGCCTCCTGAGTAGCTGGGAGTGTCCCAGAGAGGAACATGGAGGCTTCTGTTGCTGACACAGCACAGTGGAATTCTCACTTTCTCCTTATCTGCTCTCTTCTCAGTCTGACTCCAGATGGAAGCTCTTCCCTAGAAAAGCCCTGTCCAGAAGGAGTTTGCATAGTCTATCATTTTCCATTTTCTGTTAGCCACATTTTTTCAAGTAAAAAAGAAACAGGTGTTGGAAGAAAAACTTTAGACAAGGCCGGGTGTGGTGGCTCACGCCTGTAATCCCAGCACTTTGGGAGGCTGAGGTGGGTGGATCACGAGGTCAAGAAATCAAGACCATCCTGGCCAACATGGTGAGACCCCATCTCTACTAAAAATACAAAAAATTAGCTGGGCGTGGCGGCCCATGCCTGTAGTCCCAGCTACTCAGGAGGCTGAGGCAGGAGAATTGCTTGAACCCGGGAGATGGAGGTTGCAGTGAGCCGAGATTGTGCCACTGCACTCCAGCCTGGAGATAGAGCAAGACTCCATCTCAAAAAAAAAAAGAAAAAGGAAAACTTTAGACAAATTGAATTTAACAGAATTTAATTGAGCAAAGAACCATCTGAGAATCAGCTCACCCTTCCAAAAAAAGGGAAGTGATGTACGGAAAATGGAAGTGAGGTGCAGAAACAGCTGGTGTAGTTACAGCTCGAAGTTGGCCTCCTTTGAACAAGGTTTGAACCGTTGGCTGTGATTGGCCGAAACTCTGTGATTGGGGCATGAGTAGGTTATGTCTGTTGTAACATCCGGTTAGGTTGCAGTTCACTATATATGCGGAAACCTCTAGGTCAAGCTTAAAACATGTAAGGAGGCAGCTTTAGGCGAAACTTATATAGGTTGGTGCAAAAGTAATTGCAGTTTTTGCCCTTTTAATGGCAAAACCCACAATTTTGCACGAGCCTAATAATTTAACACAAGTAAAATTAATTTTAACAACGTATCTTATTTAACCCAATGTGTCTAAAGTGTTATCATTTCAACATGTAACCAATATTAAAAATTATTAATGAGCTATTTTGCATTTTCTTTTTCATACTAAGCTTTTGGAATCAGTGTGTATTTTACACTGACAGTACATTTCCATTTGCAGTAGTCACATTTCAAATGCATAATAGCCAGATGTAGTTGGTGGCTGCTGTTTGGTCTAGCACGGGCCTAGAATTTGTCTTTTCCCAATCTTGTCTCCTTCAAAAATCTTTTTTTTTTTTTGGTAATTAAAAAGTCGATATATCATGGTTGTACATATTTATGAGGTCCGTGGGCTATTTTGATACCTGCATACAATGTGTAATGATCAAGTCAGGGCAATTGGGATATCCATCACCTCAAACGTTTATCTTTGTGTTGGGAACATTATAATTCTTCTCTTCTTGCTATTTTGAAAATAGAATAAATTGTTCACTCTAATTTTCCTACTGTACTATCAAATACTGGAACTTACTCCTTCTATCTAACTAATATATTTGTTCCTATTAACCCAATATCTCTTTGTCCTCCTTCTCCTCTTCCCTTCCCAGCCTCTGGTAACCATCATTCTACTCTCTACCTCCCTGAGACCAACTTATTTAGCTCCAGTAAGTGTGAGAATGTGCGATTTGTGTTGCCCTCCTTCAAAACTCTTGCCTGCAATAAGAGTGAGAATGTGCGATTAGCCGTGCATGGTGGTGCACATCTGTAGTCCCAGCTACTTGGGAGGCTGAGGTGGGAGGATCACCTGAGTTTTGGGAAGTCAAGGCTGCAGTGAGCTGAGATTGCATCACTGCACTCCAGCCTGGACAACAAAAGCAAGACCCTTTCTAAAAATAATAATAATAATAATAATATCTTTGCTATATGAAAGAAAAAAAACAAGAAAATGGGAAAAAAGGAAATATACTTGACATGAGGATAGTACATGTTTTGTTGGCCCTTCATTTATTAAGAAGGAAGATGAGTAAGTGAAAAGAATCCTATATTCCACAGTTACTGACTTTAGGTTTCACTTTTAAGTTGATACTTATTCTGCAACCTCTTTCAGTGAAGAAATTTAAAATTCTTATTTAAAACGTTTTCTTTGTAAATAGGGAGTAAATATAATACCACTAAAATTATCCAGAGTGGTAAAGAAATTAACTACTCTAGTTAAGTGAATATTTGCGAAATTAAATTAACATTCAAACATTACAACTTTAATTTTGATAATTTTGAATGGAAGTATTTCGTAATCAATTACACATCCCTGTCTTAATATTCAGAGAGTATTGAATAGCATTTATACTTTTCTTAGGTTATTTGTGGAATTGAACTACGTTATGATGGGGGCAGGGAGAGGTGAATAACTCATATTTATTGAGTCGCTGCTCTGCCAGGAGATGTGCTTTGTATTATGATAGCTCTTCTTATTTAACCCTTAGTGTATCCCCCTTCCTGGTTCTTAGTGTTTGAAGGAAGTCACTGTGTTTTACCTACCAGGTAGGCTTATGCACACATTGATTAGGTAGGTGATCTCTCCAATCTAGTAAGTCACAGAGCTGGGATTTGAACCCTAGTGGTTTGGCGCTAGAGGCCATGCTTTTAACACTCTGATACTAATGTCAACTTCACCACAAAACTCTGCGGTAGACATTATCATCCCCATTTTACAGGTGTGGAAACTGAGGCTCAAAAGAGTTAAGTAACACTTAACGTCAGTTGGTACATGGCCAATGTTTCTTTTTCTTTCTAGAACTTTTTTATATTGGCCCAGGCAAGGCATTTGCCAGTCAATGAAACCATTTCTTTCATCTTTCTTTGGTTCACTTATCCTCCTTTTTCTTTCCCCAGAAAACATCTTTTATAATCATGAGGCAATATCGGAGTGATTTGGTTTCCTACATTACAAAATATGCTCTGAGATAATTTGGAGAAACCTGGCCTTTTCGGAGTTTATATTCTAAAACCATTGAAAACTTTTTTTTTTCCAGAGAGATTGGAACAATTATCAGGTCATTAGGATGCTGTCCTACGGAAGGAGAGCTGCATGATCTGATTGCAGAGGTGAGTACGGCGAAAAGGTTTCATTCAGCCAGCTCTCTGTGTGAGAGCTACTCCTTGTAATTAAAAACAATCCTTACCGGAAACTAAAAAAAAGTGCCCCAAACTACTGAATGTGCTCAGTGGAAATATTAGGATAACTATTCATATTAGCCAACCAACAAAATCTGAAAGAATTGAGCAGATCTTGAAGAAATGACTATGAACAAGTAACACAACTGATCAAATAAAGAACCCACTGTAGAAATGATCCTCTCTGTAAAATTAGTTGAAAAGAGGCCAGTAGATGCAAGGGGCTGACCGTATGCAGAAAGGCTATTGACAGAGACAGTAAGGAATTTTTATTTATTTGGGGAAATAAAACTAACTTTTAGAACAAGTAGTAAACAGAATAAAATATCAAGAATGAACTTTACATTGACCAGAGAGTCTAAGAAGTTTAAAAACGAGTCATGTGTAATAGTGGAGGTGAATGATCCCATAAGGCAGTGGATGAGCAGCCCACGATGAGAGTGCTTCATGCTCTGTTTGACTTTCCAGAAAGGTCTCTGATCTCATTTCAAATGCAGCATTCGGTTCAACAACAGAGACTTTAAGGGAAAAAAGCTACCTGGCCAGGAGAAGAATCTTTTCAGAATTGCTTATCTAGGCACAAAGATTTTAGTGGAGTCTGGGGATGGCAAAGGGGATAACAGGAGACAGGTGAGGAGGTGGAATTTTATCTCTTTATTTTGCACCTAGCGCAGTACCTGCTTGTTCAACATTAAGTTGGAGAGAAGGAATTGTGACCGTGGTGAGTCACTTAACCCCTGTTGAGTGTCAGTTTCTCCATAATAATAACTACTTCAAAGTTTGCTTCAAAGATAAATGAAAGAAGGTACAAGAATGCATGTTTTGAATCCTAAAGCATTATGTAAAGTTAAGGAAGGGAAGATTAGAAAGATGAGTCTGCTGCACAGATATTAGCACCTTGGTGACCAAAAAGCAGTAGCAATTTTTTGAAGCATTTGGAAATATTCAGTAAAGGAATCTAAGTTGTAAGAACACATTGTTTTTACCTTTTGGGATTCAATAAAGCTATTTTTACCAAGAGTAAGAGGAAAAGCTTGTTTTTCCTGAATTGATGCTCACATTAAAAAAAGATACTGATTACTGCCTTAAAGTGTTTCTGCACAAAGCTGGAATTAGTGTTAGGGAAAAGCAAGCTGGAAGTGTGGAAGAGGTAAGAACTAGAGGACGAATTTACAGCGAAATCATCATCATCACATGCTCAGGATAGTAAGTGAAGCAATAATGAAAAATACCTCCGAAGGTCAGAAAAGGAGGATCTCTAGAGTCTAGTCCCTTTATGGTTTGTTTGTATGTTTTAATCTCTATCAGGAGTTAGCAAATCATGGCCCCTGGCCAAATCCTGCCCACCGCCTGTGCATGTAAATAAAGTTTCACTGAAACACAGCTAAACTCATTTATTTGTATATTATCTATGGTTGTTTCCTGACTACAAGGGCAGAGTTCAGTAGTTGCCACAGAGACCTACAGCTTGGAAAGCTTAAGATATTTACCATCTGGCCTTTGCAGAAAAAGGTTGCCAACTCCTGATCTATGGGCTTCTGTGCCAAAGTAGAACAAATACCACATCTAGTACTAGAAGATCTGAGTTCAAACTCCACAGCTACCACTTATAGCCATGTGGCCTTCAATGAGCCACTTAATCCTTCAAAGCTTCGTTTCACATCTGCAAAAGGAGTATAATAACATGAAAATGTTTTTATGAGGATTAAATTTAATAACCGAGGAATCAACTGTTACTTGGTGGGCATGCAGTACATACTTGAGTTTGCTTGCACTGCTGGTGGCTCTCTAGGATAATAATCCCCACTGGTTTGGGCAGTTAGCCACAGTGGGTGCTTAGGTCCTAAAGTTTTATTTTATTTTTACCCTTTTTTAGGGACATGACACAACCTTTGAAAATTACAGATATTTAGAATACTTATGTACCAGTAGGGGTCACTGAGCTATTAAGCTCTGTAAATATTTTTCTATATTTGTATACGAACACAATTTACTCTAATTAAATTCTACTGATAAACAGCTTTGGGTATAACTACCTTTTAAGAACTTTTCCAAATAAATGGGTGGGAAAAAAGCACATAAAAAAAGCACAAATTTGAATTGATAAATACAAGTATGTATTTGTACATATTTAAATACATTTAATAGTGAATACATGTAAACACATTTAGAAAATCAAAGCCCCGTAAAAGTCAACATCTAGGGGTAAATGTCATATTGCTAAATGTTCTATAATAGTTTCAGAGATCAAACTATTTAAATGTATGTGTGTATATGCTTTAAAATTGCTCTATAAGGCTGGGCACAGCAGCTCACGCCTGCAATCCCAGCACTTGGGGAGGCTGAAGCAGGTGGATCACTCGAGGTCAGGAGTTTGAGACCAGCCTGGCCAACATGGTGAAGTCCTGTCTCTACTAAAAATAGAAAAAATAGCTGGGTGTGGTGGTACACACTTGTAATCCCAGCTAGTTGGGAGGCTGAGGGAGGAGGATCACTTGAACCTGGGAGGCAGAGGTTGCAATGAGCTGAGGTCATACCACTACACTCCAGCCTGCGTGACAGAGCAAGACTCTGTCTCAAAAAAACGAACAAACAAAAAATAGTCCTATAAAAAGTTGAAACCTTTGTAAAATTCTCTGGTTGTCATGTACTTGAACTTTAGTGTAGACACATTCTTTTCTCTTTAATTTTTATAACTTTCAGCCCTTTGCTTCCTGAAGATCAATTTCAAATATGGTGTTTCTCTTGAAATAGATCATTTTAAAAATCATTTAACTTTGATCCATGCAGTTTATATTCTATAAATAGCAACTTCCTGCAAATACTTTCTGCCTTTTGGAATATCACAAAAACTGGCAACTGTGAGAAGGATTAGTGAAAAATCTTACCGACATATAGGCTACCAAATAATCCTTCTTTTAATATTAAGTTAGCGCCTTCTAGGATCTTCAGGGTATGGGAGCTGGGAGGAGATAATGGCATTTTCATACAAATGGAAAGGTTATTTAGAGGTCTATGTCTTCTGAAGTTCCAACCTAAGTGGAATTATGGAGAACTTCAACTAATTACAAAGGAAAACTAAAAGATGATTTAAAAGTAAGACCTATGTTTGTCAGATTATTGACTCAGGCTTAGGCACTAAGCACGGATTATGACTTTTTATTGGGGTGACCATCTGCATCCTCCCCTTCCCCATCCTTGCCCTTTTTTGGTTGTAGATGTTAGGCAGCACCTTTGTTGGCTCCACATCTGTTTTGCTCCTAAGCGTGCTATGTTCTATTAACCATCTCCACCTTTCCCCGTGACTCCCTCTTCAATCTGTCTGCTCATTATATGAGGCCTCTTAACTTCTGTGCTCAAACAACTCTGCTTGGCCTCTGTTACCTGGGTGTAGGAGAGCTGGCTAGCAAATCATTACATGGATTTAACAAACCCAGGTCTACAATTACCTAATCTAGTCAACCCTGGCTTGCAGAAGACACCATCACAGAACTTAGTGACACCAGTGCCTTTCTCACCAGCCTGATACCCTTGGTGAGCAGTGCATCTGAGCCCTCCCATGGAACAGAATCCTCCAGTGAGTCTTCTGACTCATTAGATGCCCATTCTGCCCTCCCACTTCCGTCAGCTTGGTTTGCCACTTCACTCAGGGTTTGGTGTCGCTTGTTCCAGGTCTCCACTTCACTCAGGGTTTGGTGTCACTTGTTCCAGGTCTCACCCTCGCAGCAAGGGTGCCCCATCTCCTAGGGTCCTTGCCAGAGTGTTAAGTCTGTGTCCTGAGAAAGTGCCTGAAGTCGATGAATTCTTGCTTATCCAGTTTTATATTCCAGACCTCTTGGTCAAGCACTCTCATCCAATCTCAGGGGTACTCCCCTAGCTCCTAGTTCAGGAGCCAATTCCTATCTAATTCCTTTTGCGATTTTAGTGTATAGTCTTTTTCTTTCCTTATTAGGCCCAGCACTTCCTCAGCCAGATTATGCTGGGATTTAACACTTCATTATTGCCTGGAGCAGCCCATTGGATGGATGGCCTTGGCTCAAATATGATGGCTAGGATCATCATTCAATTACATTTCCTGCAACTGTAGATTTAAGAGGTGCATTTCATTGGGAGGCTGAGGTGAGAGGATTGCTTGAGCTCAGGAATGAGGCACAATGGTGGCCCACTGCTCTGCAGCCTGGGTAACAGAGCCAGATCTCAACTCTTTTTTTTGAGATGGAGTCTGACTCTGTCGCCCGGGCTGGAGTGCAGTGGCACAATCTCGGCTCACTGCAACCTCTGCCTCCTGGCTTCAGGTGATTCTCCTGCCTCAGCCTCCCGAGTAGCTGGGGGTTACAGGCACGCACCACCACACCCGGCTAATTTTTATATTTTTAGTAGAGACGGGGTTTCACCATGTCGGCCAGGCTGGTCTCGAACTCCTGACCTCAGGTGATCCGCCCTCCTCGGCCTCCCAAAGTGCTGGGATTACAGGCGTGACCAACCACGCCCGGCCCAGATCTCAACTTTTTTTTAAAAAAAGAGAAAGAAAATTGAATTTTCATGGCTGCCATAGTTGTCGTCTGGAAGAGCTGTAATGCGAATCAGGTGTTAAGTGTCCAGTAGAATATGACCAAAAGGAGTTGGCTGCTCTATATATTTTATTTCTAAACTCACTAGGGCCTACCCCTGGCTTTCAGGATTAGATCAAAGCATAAAACTACTTAGGAATGAAATGAAGGTCCTCATCAGATCCAAGGAGTGGGGCAAGAGTGAGCAGAAACTTGACCAGCACATAGTAAAGATAGGTCAGTGATAAGAACTGGGCCAGGCTTATCCTGGAATTCTGTTCTTGGATCAAAAGAGGATACCATGGCAGGGAGACCATGGTAATGATAGTTCTTAACAAAACTGTCCCTTTACATATGATGGTTGACCTCGACATCTGTGCACAGCCATCATTCTGGGATCTTTGTGATATTTCTGGGAGTCACTGTTTTCCTTCTGGGTTGGACTTCTTTCTATCCCAAGTTTTCCTCTTTCTAGTTCCTCTAGCATTTTAACATATTATTTGATAACTTCTTGGGAAAGAGTGCCTTGGGGGTAAAATTTTTGAGATTTGTATGTTTGAAAGTGATTATGCTAATCTTTGGCTGGAAATAGAATTCTACATTCAATGGATTTTTCTTCATTAAATGGATTTGGATTTTTCAGGTCTTCAGTAAGAGTTCTGAAGGCACTGCTCATCTTCATGTTCCTGGTAATGCTATTGAGATAGTGCAAATCCATTCTGGTTCCCAATCCTTTGTATATAAACATTAATTTTTTTTTTCCTGAAACTCTGGACAGTTTTTTTTCCCCAGAGTTTGAAATTTCACAAAGATTTACGTTGGTGTAAACACATATCTAATGTGTTAGGTACCTGGTGGGCCTTTTCAAACTAGTGACTTGTATTTTTTGGTTCCAGGAAGTTTTCTTGCAATTATTTTGTTTTCTTTTTTCTGTTTTTTGGAACTCCTATTATTCATTTTTGTGTTTCTGGACTGGACTAGTCTTTAACATTCTTCTTTTTTTTTTTTTTTTTTTTTTTTGTATTTTTAGTAGAGACAGGGTTTTTACCATGTTTGCCAGGCTGGTCTTGAACACCTGACCTCAAATGATCTACCTGCCTTGGCCTCCCAAATTACAGGCGCATGCCATCACGCCCGGCTAATTTTTGTATTTTCAGTAGAGATGGCATTTCACCATGTTGGCCAGGCTGGTCTTGAACGCCTGACCTCAAGTGATCTGCCCGCCTCGGCCTCCCAAAGTGCTCGGATTATAGGTATGAGCCACCGCGCCCAGCCTAATATTCTTATTTTTCACTTATTTTCCATCTCTGTCTCTGTGTTCTCTCTGGTAGATTTCTTGAACTTTGTCTTCCAATATTTTTATTGAGTTTCTCATTTCTGTTGTGTTTTAAATTTCCAGTAGCTTGTTTTTGTTCTTTGAATGTTCTTTTTTAAATAGCATCCTGTTCTTGTTTCAGATCTCTGAAGATAATAGTGTTACTTTATTTGAAGTTTTCTTCTCTTTGCATAATCTGTTTTCTCCAAGTTGATACCTGTGTCTGTTCTGGTCTTTGTTTTTGTTAGTAGCTTTCCTCAGTGTCTGATAAACCTTGGCTGTCAGTTCCTAACAAACACATGCATGGAACTTGTCAACTTTAAACTTCATCACTGGGTAATCTGGGAATCACCCGCATCGGAGTGTTGGGGATTTTTCTGTCGTGCAGGCTTGATTCTTTGGAATAGAGTGTTCAGTCTTCTGCTTGGGAGGCAAAAGCGTCTAGCTGCCAGTTCGGACACCTTCTGTTTACACTCTTTAGAAGGTAAATCTCGAAACTCCTGCAGGGATGGAGGGCAGGCAGTCACTTAGTGGGGAAAACTGAGAGGGAATTTACAGCTTTTCAAACATATTTTACCCTAGTTCCCCTAATTTTAGTTCCTGGTCCCTCATCCTCATTTCCAGAAGCAACCAATGCTTTTTGAGGATTCTTTACTCACTACTGTCTTGGGTTCAGTTTTCTAGATCTACTAGATTATTGCCACTCATCCATCTACTTCTCAGCTTCCAAAATTTTATTCCCATTATATTTTTTCCTATTCTTCCTAAGTAGGTGTATGATTATTTTAACAAATGTTTCTTTACTGCAATTTTAATAAGGTTTGAGAGAGAGTAAAGTTAGATGCAGATATACAGTTTGCCTCCTTAACACAGAAGTTTCATTGATATTTGATTAGTCAGAAAATAGCAACAGTACTCCTGAGAAAAGTATTAATAATGTAAATCTAGATGAGACATTGTAATAGTCTTTAGAAAGAGAGCATTAGTAAATGTTGGGACTAAAGCACTGATAATTATAGCATATAAGATGTAATACATTGGAGTGAATTAAGTATGCATGTGTAAATATTAAGTGTAACTACAAAAGAGTATAAAGTGAATGCATAACTTCCAAACTGATATAGAGGATAAAAGAATTAGAGGGCATTCTGTCAGTCCAAAAAGACAGAAAAGAAGCATAGAATAATCAGAGTATCTAGAAAACATAAGATAATGGTACTTATAATCATAATAGGCCAGGCATGGTGGCTCACACCTGTAATCCCAGCACTTTGGGAGGCCGAGGTGGGCGGATCATAAGGTCAGGAGACTGAGACCATCCTGGCTAACATGGTGAAACCCCATCTCTACTAAAAGTAGAAAAAATTAGCCGGGCTTGGTGGCGGGCACCTGTAGTCCCAGCTACTCGGGAGGCTGAGGCAGGAGAATGGCGTGAACCCGGGAGGCGGAGCTTGCAGTGAGCCGAGATTGCGCCAGTGCACTCCAGCCTGGGTGACAGAGTGAGACTCCATCTCAAAAAGAAAAAAAAATCATAATAAATGCAACTGGATTAAACTCACCAGTGACAAGAAATTGAAATTGGACTTCTGGAAAAATCCGATATTATAATACATCAACACATTTCTGCCATCTCTACCTTCACATTATAAATTTAACTTTCTCATCATTTCCACATCCATCACCTTAGTCCAAGCCTTGTCATTTCTCCATGAATGACTGCAATGGCATTTATTTACTTATTTACTTATTTTTCAGACAGAGTCTCACTTTGTCGCCCAGGTTGGAGTGCAGTGGCATGATCTCGGCTCACTGCAACCTCCACCTCCCAGGTTCAAGTGATTCTCTTGCCTCAGCCACCTGAGTAGCTGGGATTACAGGTGCCGGCCAACATGACCACGCCTGGCCCAATACATGCATTTTTAAATATTTGAGATGGTATTCAGTCCCTACTCATTTCGCTAAGTGAGGAAACCCATAAACAAATGTTACAGTTTTTTTTATATCTGTGGTCAGTGGTTTAATGTTACATTTATAGTGTTGAGACAACTATGATGTCAAAGTGTGATAAATACTCCCCAGTAACCAGTTAAAATAATGTAATGACACTAGTGAATCATTTCCTACACTTTTCATCTTGGATGGAAAGTATCATACTACTCCAGGCATACCACAAGCCCCGGAGGTCCCAAATCTCCATCTTTCATTATTCTTAATTGGTTAAGTATCCTTGGATTTTTTTTCTTTGAAACTTCGGAATTGGCTTTTGAGTTAGTAGAACAAGATCCACGTAATCTACACCCTGGTGAAGTGGGAATTTCTATCAGCCTGTGCCTGGACTCTATCATTGAGCTTCTGGAAGAGCCCTGGGACTTTACATCGTTTGGAATTTGACTGTATCAAGTTTCTCAGAGAATGAGAAAGGGTGGGAGTAATTATGTTCTTATTTTGAAGTAGTTGGTGATATGAAATGTTTTATCTGTTATTGTTCCTACACATCCTGCCTTTGGGAGATGGGGGAGAATGGAATTGATCTGCTCTAATTTTTATTTATGTTAGATGCTGGAATTTAATTATAGAGCTGATGGTACTTTGCAGATTAGTTAGTAATGGCTACCATCCAGCCATTACTTCGAGTAGCATCAGGTAAATTTGGGGCAATGAGGAGAATATATTGTAAAAAGCATATACTGAGAGTATTGCTTATTTGTAATTGGTAGGAAAACATTTAACGATGCCAAAGCCATGATCAGCAGCGGGAAAACGTGACCCAGGGAAATCTTCAAAAGTGGTTTTTTCTTTATTAGATAAATAAAACGTGTTTTTATATAGAACAGAAACAATCACGGCAATAGACTAATAAATACGGTTTTATTCCAGATTTCTTATTGTATAGGTAATATCCAGATTACAAAAAATTTTAAATAAATAGGAACTTCCTTTCCAACAATGCCATCACCTTAATATAATCATTGTTAATATTTTGGTACACTTCCTTACATATTATTTTTCTGTGTAGGTTTTTAACTGGACTGTAATTTTTTTTGTTGCTATCGTATTCTTTTTTTTAGAGACTGGGTCTCACTCTGTTACCCAGGCTGGAGTACTATGGCAAGATCATAGCTCACTGCAGCCTGGAACTCCTGGACTAAAGTGGTCCTCTCATCTCAGCCTTCCAAATAGCTGGTACTACAGGTATATGCCACCACTCCCAGCTAATTTTTTTTTTTTTTTTAGAGACGGGGCCTTGAAATGTTGACTAGGCTGGTCTTGAACTCCTGGCCTCAAGTGATCCTCCCACCTCAGCCTCCCAAAGTGCAGGGATTACAGGTGTGAGCATGTGAGCCACCATACCTGGCAGAACTATAATCTTATAGTATAATTCAGTAGGTAAAATTCTGAATCTTGCTTTTTTCCACCTAATTATATCACAAATTATATCTCCATGTTATTACAAAGCTTTCATTATAAAAATGCATGCTGATTAAATTGCACAAGAAAAAAAAGGAAGGGAATGATCTCTCTTCTGTGCATCACTCAGACACAACCAGAATATTTTACCTTTTTCACTCACTATTACATCAAAATGATTTTTCCCTTCTGTTATCTAGTTTTTAGAAACCAACGCTTTAAGAAAGAAATCCTGTTCTACTATAACATGGATGAAACTTAAGGATATTATGCTAAGCAAAACAAGCTACAGTTGACCCTTAAACAACATGGGGGTTCAAGGCACCGACCCCCGTGCAGTTGAAAATCCAAGTATAATTTTGCCTCCCCCAAAACTTAAACTAATAGTCTACCATTGACTGGAAGCCATATCAATAACATACACAATCAATTAACAAAGATTTTGTATGTTATATGTATTATTTACTGAATTCTTACAATAAAGTAAGCCAGAGTAAAGAAAATACTATTAAGAAAATCATAAGGAAGCAAAAATATAGTTACTATCCAACAAGTGGAAGTGGGTCATCATAAAGGTCTCGTCCTCATTGTCTTCACACTGAGTAGGCTGGGGAGGACGAGGAGAGGAGGGGTTTGGTCTTGCTGTTCCAGGGTAACAGAGGCAGAAGAAAATCCATGGAGAAGTGGACCCATGGATTTCAAACCCATGTTTGAGGGTCACCTGTAGTTATAAGTATTAATGCACAAATACTGCATGTGAGGTATCCAAAATAGCCCAACTCCTAGAAACAGAAAATAGAGCAGTAGTGGCCGGGGAATGGCGGAGGGGAAAGGGGAGCTGCTGTTCAATGAGTACAGAATTTCAGTTTTGCAAGATGAAGACGTTCTAGAGAGCTGTTACACAACAATGTACATGTAGTTAACACTGCTGTACTGTACACTTAAAAATGGTGAAGATGGGCTGGGCATGGGGGTGCACCCCAATAGTTTCAGCTACTCGGGAGGCTGAGGCTTGAGGATTGCTTGAAGCCAGGAGTTCGGGACCAGCCTGGGCAACATTGTGAGACCCTGTCTCTACAAAAAAATTTTTAAAAATTAGCCAGGCTTGGTGGTGTGTGCCTATAGTCCCAGCTACTTGGGAAGCTGAGACAGGAGGGTCACTTTTGCCCAGGAGTTCAAGGCTGTAGTGAGCTATCGTGGCACCACCACACTCCAGCCTGGGCAACAGAGTAAGACCCTGTCTCTAAATAAAAAATAAACCAATAAAGTATACAGAAGGATGTGCATAGGTTATATGCAAATAATGTGCCATTTTATATGAGGAAGTTGAGTATTTGCAGATTTTGGTATCCATGAGGAGTCCGGGAACCAATCCACCATGGATACAGAGGGACACCTATACTAATATCATTAATATTTTCCATGCCAATATTCTACTATAATAGGAGTGCAATCGCTTCCTAATATTTAATTATATGGCAATGACCATATTAATAAATAGAAACATAATATTCCATTAAATGAATATTCCATATTACATATCCATTCATCTATTGGTAAAGGTTGCTAACAATTTTTAATATCATGGATCCTGCATGATAAACATTATTTGAATAAAGTATAGGCCCTTTTCAGATGCCAGAGGGCCTTGTGAAGCAAGCCAAGGCAGTGATGGGTTACTGAAGGGTTTTAAATGAGAATAACATGATGAGATTTGCATTTTATTTTATTTTAATTCGTATTTGTTTTTATTGAAGGAGGTTGTACTTTAGACAAACCAGTCTGATGGTAGTAAGCAGTTAGATTGGAATAATTTATAGTCATCCTTTCCCTGGGTCATATCTGACAGCTTGGAGCCCTTTGTACATTTTGGGTAATTTTTTCCTAAATGGTTTTATTTATCTCTTTTATTCAGTAAAACTTAATTGCCATGTTTCTATGATGCTGTGGTCAGAATGTATGTGCCCCTTCAAAATTCATATGTTGGAGCTTAAACCCCAATGAGATAGTATTAAGAGGTGGAGTCTTCAGGGGGCAATTAAGTCGAGAGAGTAGATCCCTCACGAACGGGATTAGCAATGTTATAAAAGGGCTGGAGAGAATTAGCTAGTTTTTGCCCTTGCATCCCTCTGCCATGTTAGGACACAGTGCTCATCCCCTCTGGGGGCCACAGCATTCAAGGCCCCATCTTGGAAGCAGAGACCAGGCCTTCACCAGACACCAAGGCTGCTGGTACCCTGATCTGGGACTTCCCAACCTCCATAACTGCAAGCTGTTAGGTATGCTGTTTATACATTACCCAGTCTAAGGTACTTCGTCATAGCAGCACAATTGGACTAAGACCGAAATTGATCTTCGTGGGACTATTTCTATAACAAATACCTGACAATGTGGAAGTGGCTTTGGAACTGGGGGTCAAGGCTGGAAGACTTTGAGGTGTATGCTAGAAAAGCCTGGATTGCTGTGAACAGAGCACTAATGGTGATTCTGATGAGGGCTCAGAGAAGAGATCTGTAGAGAGAGCCTCAATCTTCTTAGAGATTATCTAAGTAGACAAGAACAGAATGTTGGTAGAAATATGGATGGCAAAGGCAATTCTGTTGAGGTCACAGACATAAATGAGGGATGAGGTATTGGAATCCGGAAGAAAGGACGTCGTTGCTATAACATGGCAAGGAACTTGTCTGAATTGTGTCCGTGTCCATGCTTTATGGAAGGCAGAACTTAGAAATAATGAACCTTGGATATTGAAATTGGCAAAGAGTTTCTAAAAGTGGTAAGTTCCTGGCATTGACACTTTTGCACATTGCTAATAGCAGTAGAAAATGGTGGTATTCATACTCCCTTCCTGGACGGCATTTTAGCAATACTTATCAATAAGCTAAAAAAAATATACAAGCTCATTGATCAGTTTCTGGAGGAGATACTGTATGGAGAACAAACAGAAAGATTTTACTTCAAAGATGTTAGTCACACGGTTGTTTGTAACAACAACTGGAAACAACCTGAGTGTCCATTAACACAAAAATGGTTCAACAAATCTTGGTCTGTCTGTGGAATGGAATGCTGTGCAGTCATTACAAGTATGTCGTGAAAGACTGATGCCACCACACACCTATGAGAGTGGATAAAATCCAAAGCACCGACAACAACAAATGCTGACAAGAAAGTGGAGCAGCAGGAACTCTCCTTCACCATTGGTGAGGACAGTGCAGCACTCTCTTAGAAAACGAAACATCCTCTTACCACATAACCCAGCACTCTTCTCCTTTTATTTATGCAAAGGAATTGAAAATTTATGGCCACACAGAAACCTGCACACAGATGCTTATAGCAGCTTCATTCATAATTGGCAAAACTTGGAAGCAACCAAGATGTCCTTTAGTGGGTGAATGGATAAATAAATGTGGTACATCCAGACAATGGAATATTATTCAGCACTAAAATGAGTTATCAAGCCATGAAAATTCATTGAAGAAACCTTTTTTCTTTTTTCTTTTTTTTGAGACAGGGTCTCACTCTGTCACCCAGGCTGGAGTGCCAGTTCTCCCACCTCAGCTTCCCAAGCAGCTGGGGTTACAGGCACATGCCATGCCCAGCTAATTTTTAAAAATTTTTGTAGAGATGAGGTTTCGCCATGTTGCCCAAGCTGAGCTCAAACTCCTGGCCTCAAGTGATCCACCCACCTTGCCCTCCCAAAGTGTGGGATTACAGGCATGAGCCACCACGCCTGGCCTCAGAGGAGTTTGAGGGCAGTGAAACTACTCTGTGTGATACTATCATGGTGAAGACTTGTTGTTATGCATTTGTCCACACCCATTGAATGTACAACACCAAAAGCGATATAGTTTGAATATTTGTCCCCGCCCAAATCTCATGTTAAAATGTAATCCTCGGTGTCAGAGATGGGACCTGGTGGGAGGCGTTTGAATCATGGGGGAAGATCCCTCAGGCATGGCTCGGGCCGTCCCTTGGTGATAAATGACTTCACACAAGCTCTGAGTTCACACAAGCTCTGGTCATTTAAAACTGCGTGGCTCCTCCCTCCGCACTCTCTCTTGCTCCTGTTCTGGCCATGTGATGTGCCTGTTGCCTCTTCACCTTCCACCATGATTGGAAGCTCCCTGAGGCCTCCCAAGAAACCAAGCAGATGTCAGCACCATGCTTCCTGTACAGCCTGCAGAACTGTGAGCCAATTCAACCTCTTTTCTTTATAAATTACCCAGTCTCAAGTGTTTATAGCAATACAAGAACAGCCTAATACAAAGAATTAAACCTAATGAAAACTATGAACTTTGGGTAATAAAGAGGTATCAATGTAGCTCTATTAATTTTTTTTGTTTGTTTGTTTTTGAGACAGAGTCTCACTCTGTTGCCCAGGCTGGAGTGCAGTGGCATGATCTTGGTTCACTGTAACCTCTGCCTCCCAGGTTCAAGTGTTTCTTCTGCCTCAGCCTCCCGAGTAGCTGGGACTACAGGCATGCACCACCACACCCAGCTAATTTTTGTAGTTTTAGTAGAGGTGTGGTTTCACCATGTTGGCCAGGCTGGTCTCAAACTCCTGGCCTCAGGTGATCTGGCCACCTCGGCCTCCCAAAGTGCTGGGATTACAGGCATGAGCTACTGCGCCCGGCCAGCTTCATTAATTTTTAACACATATACCACTCTCGTGGGGATGCTGATTGTAGGGGAGGCTGAGGATGGGGAGAGCAATCCAGGGGACGGGGCGTGGCATATGGGAACTGTCTGGACATTCCACTTAATTTTGCTGTGACATAAAACTACTCTTAACAAACTCAAATTTATTAATTAAAAAAAGACTAATGGCTTGATAAGATGTTCACAGTGTTAAGTAAATAAAAAAAGACGCTAGAATTCTATTTCTTGCTAAAATATATATATACATGTATATATAATACATACACAAATATAATATGTGGATATAGCATTGTATTAATGAATATAAAACTAAAACAAAGCTCTCCAGCACTGTATATACAGAAGTGATCTGTAGATGACAGGATCGAATCCCTGCGTGATTTGTATTCTTTGTGCTCGTCTCTATTTTTCACTGTTCCACAAAGAACATGTATTATCTCTGTAACAAGAAAAAGAAGAAAAGAAAACTGCATTATATCATTCAAAAAGTTGTCTAGTGGTCACAAAGACACTATTGAAGATGCATGTTGAAAGTTTGAATAAAGTTGGTTTTTAAAATGCAAAAATAAAGAGCAATATTTTTAAATTAACGTCGTTACATACATGATCTGAAACATAGCTGTGGACGTAGTAAAGTTTATATATTTAACTTGACCAAAACTCCTTTAGGGGATTTTCTTATTAGGGAAAGGAGGGTCACTTTTTGTTCATCAGTATATTCAGATATTTATTGTGTTAACCACTGCTCCTTTGCTTAATCACAACCAAGAATAAAGCTTTTCCTCCAATCATATTGCAACACAACTTTAAATCATTGTTTTTGGTCTGAGTGGGGTTGAAGAGTATCTTAGTGAGATGATTGCTGCAACACTTGCTGCAATCACCATCTCTATCAAATACAATAAAACTACTTGGCGTGGGAGCGGCACTCACCCTTAAGTAGAGAAACTGGAACTGGAGAGGATGAAACAATTAGTGTAGCTGGTGCTCCTGAAGCCCCACCCTCAGAGGATTAAAACAGGGAAATTAATGGTCTGACAGGCACTGCTGCAGCCTTTCCCCCATCTCTTCAAATTGGAGAAACTCTCGGTTGGAAGTGATCTTACTAAGTACCGGATTTAGCCACCTGTTGATTCTTAGACTCTCTGGTGATTCATCTGTTTTTAACACTTGCACTTAAATAGGAAAGGAATTTATAACCCAGAAGACTCGTGCAGCCTCGTGGTTGCACAGCAGCCTCTGGAATCTTTAGAATAAATAATTTTTCTAAAGTAAGTGGCTTTAAAATTTTTGTTTTTAAAGACAACATTTTTGGTAGATGCCAATTAATTATTGTGATTTTGTTCTATTCAAGGTAGAGAAATATTTTCTAAATTGTGTTTATGTTTTGGTTTTGAAACATAGTTTATGTCAAAATTTGTATCTATACTATTTAGAGCCTAATGTGAACTATCTCATGGTTTTTATATTTTTTACTACAAACAGTTTTTAAACATTCACATGTGTATCTGATTTGGTGACCTGGAACTAGCTGAAATGCAGATGCTTTATAAACCATCTTAACTACTGACATTATCTTGTTTTTTGTGAAGCATGAAATGGTTCAGTTTATTGACTGATTGTTATGTCACTGGGGAGAAAGGAATTTTCACGGTGTGTTTTATTGTGCCTATTTAGTGGGTTCAGCATTAAAATAAATAATGCTTTTATGAGAAAAGAGATGGCCTGATGATTTCTCGATGCAAGTGGAAGTTAAGAACTCCAGGCTGTGATCCCGTCAAAACACCTGCCGGACCCTGACGCCCTCAGATAGGCACTTAACCTCTCTGTGCCTGTATTTCCTCAAATCCAAAATGGATTAAGAAAATTGATTTAGACCAAAGTAGAGTGAGAAGCACAGTATTTGCCACATGCTTTGAGGCTGAGATAAATGTTGATATTATTAAAAAGTCCCACAGTATTTATTGAGATGGCTCCATATTGGGGAAGAGGAGGAGAGAGACTGTGGAGTGCCGGAAGGCACTGTGTTAGCCTCCAGAATTTGGGCCCCTTTGTGTGGCAATGAAGGCAGTATATTTTCTTCAGGTCACCTACTCCACCTTAATTCTTTGCAGGAGGAGAAGCCAGGCGTATCAGGGCCTTGGTTTTCCAGGTGAGCATCTGCTGGCACACTGTTAAGATGAATTCCCTGCGAATGGTACTTTTAGCAGGCTACACTCGAGGGATCTTCTGGCAAAGACGTTTTTCCTGTACATTCACAAACGCTGCCCGGCTTACTTTTAAATTATTACTCCACGTTAGCCCTTCCCATAGAAGAAACAAACTAGACTTAACTTACTTTGCCTCATTCATGTTTGCAGTAACAAGATGTATTTGTTTTGTGAGTTGCTTCTGTCTTTTGAAGGGAGGGATGTGGAGTTTGGTGGATATTTGTTACTCTCGCCTTTTTTTCAGTCCAAAGAGGCCATGTGGGGAAACAGCAGAGGTGGAGGCATCACCGCTAACCCACATAGCCTGCCCTCTAGACATGGGGCGAGGCAACAAGCGGGGAGGGAGAAGGTGTTGAATGCGCCTAGCAATTCCGTGCGCTATCTTATTTAATTGCCACATTCCACGTGGCATTTTACGGATAGGCGGCAGAGGCAAACTTCTGTATAAACAGGTGGGTCTACACTGTGGGTCGGGGAGGATGTGCCTGAAATTTCAGCACCAGCGATTGAGTCTTTTAGGAAAAAGTGCCATTGCATGTCATAGAACCAGAAGTGTGTACACTGCTGGTACAAATCATCATCATCATCGTCATGATTGACTCTCAGAGTTCACAAAGCACCTTCATATCTCATGGAACCTTCACAACCATCCTTTAGGTTACTGGTCCCCCTGTTAGACATGAGCATGCTGAAGCTAGAGGATGAATTTTAATAACATTCTTAACTATTATTGGTCTAACATGGGGAATATATTGTGATTTTTCTCTGTAAGAAAGGTAATGTCTTTTTTATTTACTTTTCATACCTAGTACTGTAGAACATCTGTTTTTTAAAAAAGACTCTGACCAATACAGAAAGAAGTCAAGTGGATTTTCCCAACACGACTTTGCTTTAAGTGAAGAAATGCAATGACTTTGTAGTCTTTTCAAACATGTCTGATATAATATATGGAATCTTTCTTGAATTCATTTCAGTATAATTGAGTTTTCTCCTGGAGAAAATAGGTCCCAATTGCACCATTTTTTCTGCATTTCTGCATCAACTCTGTGAAATACATTTTTTTTTTTGGTTTGTTTGTGTTTTTTTGGAGACAGAATCTTGCTCTGGAGTGTAGTGGTGCGATCTTGGTTCACTGCACCCTCCATCTCCTGGGTTCAAGAGATCCTCCTGCCTCAGCCTCCCGAGTAGCTGGGACTACAGGTGCACACCACCATGTCCAGCTAATTTTTGTATTTTTAGTAGAGATGGGGTTTCGCCGTGTTGGCCAGGATGGTCTCGATCTCCTGACCTCGTGATCCGCCCACCTTAGCCTCCCAAAGTGCTGGGATTACAGGCGTGAAATACAGTTCTGAATTCTGAATATCTGCTCTGCTTGATGATAGTGATTCAAACTTGATCAGACTTCTGCTTGATGATAGTGATTCAAAGTCTTTGGCTAAAAATATGTCATATACACTTAGAATATATGTTAGTTATAATGTTTGCTAGAGCCGCTTTGATAGTGCACCACACAGAGTGGCTTAAACAATAGAAATTTATTGTCTCACAGTTCTAAAGGCTGAAAGTTTAAGATCAAGGTATCAGCATGATTAAACATCTACCCTATTCTTCTTGTTCTTTTTTATGACATTGGAATATACCATATTTGAAAAATGCATTTTAGAAAAACTAATGGAATCCAAATAAAGTTTGGAATTTAGTGACTAATAATATATTAATATTGATTCATTAGTTATGACAAGTGTACCATAATAATGTAAGAGTTAACAATAGAGGAATTGTATCACAAATGAAATTACAAATTATGTTACAAAGCAAAAGTAATCAAAACAGTGTGGTACTGGCACAAAAACAGTCATATAGACTATTGGAACAGAATAGAAAGCCTATAAATGAAGCCATGCATAAATGGCCAGCTAATCCTCAGCAAGAGTGCCAAGAATACACGATAGGGAAAGGATAGTGTCTTCAATGAATGATGATGGGAAAACTGTTATTTACATGGAGAAGAATGAAATTGGATCCGTATCTCACACCATACACAGAAATCAACTCAAGCTGGATTAAAGATTTAAATGTGAGACTTGGAGCCATAAAACTAGAAGAAAACATAGGGAAAATGCTCTTTGACATTGGTCTGGGCAATGATTTTTTGGATATGATACTAAGAGCACAGGCAACAAAAGCAAAAATAAACAAGTGGCACTACATCAAACTAAAAAGTTTCTGCATGCAAAAGAAACAAGGAGCAACCTATGGAATGGGAGAAAATGTTGCAAACCATACATTTGACAAGGGATTAATATTCCAATACATATAAGGAACTCAGACAACTCAATTGCAAAAACAAAAACGACCTAATTAAAAAAAACGGAAAAAAGGACCTGACATTTTTTCAAAGGTGATGTACAAATGTCCAACAGGTATATGAACATCATTGTTCATCAAGGAAATGCAAACCAAAACCACAATGGGATGTCACCTCACCCCTATTGTAATGGCTACTATCAAAAAGACAAAAGTGTTGGTGAGGGTGTGGAGAAAAAGGAACCTGTTGGTGGGAGTGTAAATTGGCACAGCCACTACGGAAAACAGTACGGGGGTTTCTCAAGAAACTAAAAATAGAATTACCATATCATCCAACAATCCCACTTATGGGTATAAGTCCCAAAAGAAATAAAATCAGAATCTCTAAGAGCTATCTGTATTGCCATGTTTATTGCAGCATTATTCACAGTAGCTAAGATATGGAAACAACGTGTCTATAAACAAATGAGTGGATAGTATATGTACACACACACACACGTATGTAATGGAATATTATTCAGCCTTAAAAAAGGAGGTCCTGCTATTTGCAACAACATGGATGAACTTGGAGGACATTATGCTAAGTGAAATAAGCCAGACACACAGAAAGACAAATACTGCATGATCTCTGTTACATTTTCAAAAGTCAAACTCATGGAAACAGAGAGTAGATGGGTAGTTAACCGGGGGTGGGGGTAGAGGAAATGGGAAAATGTTGGTCAAAGAGTACAAACTTTTAGTGATAAGAAAAACAATTTCTGATGTACAGTGTGGTAACTATGGTTAATAATTATTCTATACTTGAAATTTACTAAGAGAGTAGTTCTCAAGTATTCTCACCACACATACAAAAAAGGTAACTAGTGAGTCGGTGGATAAGTTAATTAGCCTGTGTGGTAATCATTCCACAAGGTATATGTATATCAAAACATCGTGTGGCACACCTTAAATATATGCAATTTTTATTTGTCCATCATACCTCAGTAAGACTGGAAAAAAATAGAGGAAACTGAGTGAGAGAGGTATATGGGAACTCTGTATTATATTTGGAACTTTTCTGTATATCTAAAACTATTCTAAAATCCAAAGGTTATTCAAATATAAAATCCTTTTATAATATAAAATAGTGTCTATATTAAACATTCCATGAATTCTGTACTTAGAATTATTGTATAATTTTATTGTTTTTAATGCCATTGCTTATACATGTTTTTGTACTCAAGAACAAATTGGATACGGCCTCTAGAGGACAGTGTTGGGTCATAGAAAGATTTTACAATTTCTGCCCAAGTTGAAGATGGTCATAATCATTTTTCTTCTTCTTTTCTAACCACAAGTCCTGTTTATTCGTTGTCCCTCTGTAAAAACAACAATAACAAAGAACACTTATGACCCCTCTGCTGTTCTGACTAGTTGGCTGTTTTGTTTTAACTTATTTTCGTATAATTTTGGTTCCACAAACATCTATTAGGCAAGAAAGATCTGCGGAGTTGGCACCATAATGTTCACATCCCTGAGGGTTTGTGAAAGTTGTGAGGGAACCCGGGGAAGCGATATGAGGCGTATATTATGTGTCATTTGTGAGTTCTTCCACGATGGAGACGGAATTATAGAGTTGAACTTCCTTTGGAAAAACAAACCACGGTTCGTAGCTTGATCAGGGTGCATGTAAGCTAAAGAGGGGTTTTGGTCTTTTAAAGGTTGAGACTGCCTGCTCTACAGTGGTTTGTTGGTGGTGGGAGGAAAGGAAAAAAACCATTGCTCTTGCTTCTGGAGCAAATTTCTGGAGTAATCAGAATAGCAACTCAACATTTTAATTTTAAAATTCCTCCTCCGGAGATAACCTCGTAGGATTGCCATTGTATTTGCCCGGGGCTCCTGAGGTGGGGAGTTGCAGAGTGCTGCTCAAGTGCGTCAGAGCCATATGAACATTCACCTGCAAAATGCTCGCCTTGGACTTAGAGGCAGCTGAAGACAATTGTTCATGAATGGATGGGCTCAGAAATTCTGAAACACACAATTCTGTCATTGAATGCGCTGAATTTTCTGCCGAGAGTGGAGTCTGAGGGTTCTACCTTGCTAGGTGTGAATCTAGTATAAACATTAAAAAATAGGAGTCATTTGGATGATGGTGTGTTCCACTTAGCAGCAACCTATAGTTTTTCGTTTGTTTGTTTTTGCTCGAAGAATAAATCTGTCCAAAGCTCATCTGCTGAATTGGGATCTTTGAGCCTTTTAATAGGAGTCTTGAGAGGGAGTGGAAAATGTACAGCTCCTTATAGATAGCCCGACATGAAAGTTAAGGTCAATGGTGTTTTGTTCAGCCACTCCATCCAAGTCGAACCCACGGGCAGGGATCTGTTTTGTTCTCATTTACTAGTGCTAAGTGCCAAACATTCTCTTTCTCAGGTATAGTCTTCTAATTTAGTGGTGGTGTGACAAAGTTCTATTTACCATATAGGTACTTAATACGTATTATGATGATTTAAGATGTAGTTGGTCCTTGAGATCGTGATTGGTCCCCTCAGCTGGTCCCTCACTCAGGATTCCTTATCTCAGGGAAAAGCATCACCTTATCCCAGTGGTATAAGTCAGAATCTTGGGAGTCATCCTTGAATCCTCTGTTTTTTCCATCCTTACTCATAATGAATGCAGGACCAGGTCCTACCAATTTCACTTCTTAAATATTTTTTGAAGCCATCCATTTCTCTCTCCATGGCCGCCACTCCAATCTAAGCCCTTGTCATATCTGCTTAGACTACTGAAGAAGCTGCCTCACCCTCAAGCAGTGTGCTCTTCCAAAACATGCATCTATGAGACCGTCACTGATTTCCCATTGTTCTCAGGCTAGCAACCTTATCACTGTCATGGACAAGAAGGCCCTGCCGTCGGGCCCCTGTCTCTCTTTCTAGCCTCATCTTGAAGCCTTCTCCCTGCTCCTTGTACTCCAGCCTCCTAGCCGCCAATGTGTCAGCAGAGAGTCTTCGCGTATTCAGTTTCCTCTAGGTGACTGTCTCTCCCCTGCTGTCTCTGTCTCATTACCTTCTACTCATACTCTCTAAATCAGCTGGAGTGTTATTTCCTCATGGATGACTTCCCTGGTCTCCTGGTCTAAGAAGTGTTCTTTATTTTTTTATTTTTATTTTATTTTATTATTTTATTTATTTTTTATTTTTTTATTTATCTATATATATATATTTTTTGAGACGGAGTCTCGCTCTGTCACGCAGGCTGGAATGCAGTGGCCTGATCTCGGCTCACTGCAAGCTCTGCCTCCTGGGTTCACGTGATTCTCCTGCCTCAGCCTCCTGAGTAGCTGGGACTACAGGCGCCCACCACCATGCCTGGCTAATTTTTTGTAGTTTTAGTAGAGACAGGGTTTCACCGTGTTAGCCAGGATGGTCTCCATCTGCTGACCTCGTGATCCACCCACCTCGGCCTCCCAAAGTTCTGGGATTACAGGCGTGAGCCATCGCACCCGGCAATTTTTTTATTTTTTATTTTTTTATTGAGATGGAGTCTCGCTCTGTTGCCCATACTGGAGTACAGTGGTGCGATCTCGGCTCACTGCAACCTCCATCTCCCGGGTTCAAGTGGTTCTCCTGCTTCAGCCTCCCGTGTAGCTTGGATTACAGGTGTGCGCCACTACGCCCATATAATTTTTGTATTTTTAGTAGAGACGGGGTTTCACCATGTTGGCCAAGCTGATCTTGAACTCCTGACCTCAAGTAATCTGCCTGCCTTGGCCTCCTCAAGTGCTGGGATTACAGGCGTGAGCCACCACGCCCGGCCGAGTGTTCTTTATTGGCTGTTCTTACAGACCCATGCTCCTTCCCCTCACTGTACTTACATCAGTTCACAGTGTCTTTGGTTGCTGTTTCTTGATTAATGTCTGTCTCCCTGATCAGAGTATCAGCTGTGCTCCAGTTGAATGATGAAGGTAAATCTTAAAAAGATAAAGTAAAGGACCATCTCTGTGAGCAGGGGTCACGCCCAAGTGTGCTCACCATCCAGAGTCTCTAGCACTTGGCACAGTGCTTGGAACAACTAGTTGCTGAATACATTTGTTGAATGACTAAATGGCTATTTACTTATTGAATGTTTAGGTAGAGGAAGAAGAACCCACTGGATACATTCGATTCGAAAAATTTCTTCCGGTGATGACAGAAATACTACTAGAAAGAAAGTAAGTAAGTAAATGCAATTGTTAAGGCAAAGTAATGGTCAGAATTATGAATCCATTCATTTCAGGACGCTTGGCTTTTTCACTTTGTGTGTTATACTCAAGCAGTGTGTCCTAAGGTGGCCTCCCTCTAACCTTTCAAGCTACTTCTGAACTGGCAGTTGGTACCTGCTTAGAAATATCAACCACACTAGTGTTATCCTAAGCAAAGCATAATTAGAGGGTAAATAAGCTATAAAGATCGTAAATCAACATTCTTAGTATCTTCTGTTTTGAATTATCAATGATAAATAAGAATCCTAATATTTTTCTAGCAAAAATATAGCATTAGCTTACCATAGTTGGTTCATCATAGAAGTCTTGTGCCCAGATAAATTGATGTCCAAAAAGCTAATAGATAACCTCAAACATGTCAGTGATTTTGCACTAAATATTTCCTGTGGGGCTGAGGTATTTTCAACTTTCATATCCAGAAATCCAAAAAGATTTCAATGAGGCAAGTATTATCATCCCAGTATGTTAGCAGCTTTTATTTTATTTTATTTTATTTTATTTTATTTTTGAGATGGACTTTCGCTTTTGTCACCCAGGCTGGAATGCAGTGGCACCATCTTGGCTCACTGCAACCTCCACCTCCTGGGTTCAAGCAATTCTCCTGCCTCAGCCTCCCGAGTAGCTGGGATTACAGGCACGTGCATGCCACCATGCCTGGCTAATTTTTGTATTTTTAGTAGAGACAGAGTTTCACTATGTTGGCCAGGCTGGTCTCGAACTCCTGACCTCAGATGATCTGCCCACCTCAGCCTCCCAAAGTGCTGGGATTACAGGCATGAGCCACCATACCCAGCCCTATTTTGTTTTATGTGGTCATTTATTACGGGGATCCCCAACCACCAGGCCAGGTACTGGTGCCAGTCCCTGGCCTGTTAGGACCCCTGGGCCACACAGCAGGAGGTGAGCAGCAAGAGAGTGAGCATTACTGCCCGAACTCCGCCTCCTGTCTGAGAAGCATTGGCATTAGATTATCATAGGAATGCGAACCCTATTGTGAACTGTGCGTGTTAGGGATCTAAGTTGCATGCTCCTTATGAGAATCTAATGCCTGATGATCTGAGGTGGAGCAGTTTCATCCCCAAACCATCCCTCCCCTCCCCTGGTCTGTGGAAGAATTGTCTTCCATGAAACTGGTCCCTGGTGCCAAAAGGGTTGGAGACTGCTGATTTATTATGTAAAGACTGCGGTAAATACCACGGCATTTACTCATTTTATTGCATAATTATAGATACAGACCAATTCCAGAAGATGTCCTTCTTCGAGCTTTTGAGGTATGTAAACTCCAGCTTATATGCATATACATATATATAAATACATTTATTTACATACACACATATATGAAAAATTTATCATGTAGAACTTATTCACCAAATGAAAAATATAATATCTATCTTTTCTTTTCCCCTAGGTTTTAGATTCAGCTAAACGTGGGTTTCTTACTAAGGACGAGCTGATCAAGTATATGACTGAAGAAGGTAAGTGTGATTTATTACTTATCACAATGACTTATGTGAGGAATTAATAATTTGTTAACAGTTATGCGAAAGTTATAGGGGATACTTTAAAATCAGTCATTCTGGTGAAAGTTATTTACTGTTCCTGCTATTTTGGCTTGGGGATGGTTTCTGTTCTGTGGGGGTTAAGAGGACAAAGAGTAGGGAAAGGGGAGATGGGTTGTTGTCTCGTAGAATTTTGTGAAGCACAGTGATTACTTCTATAATTTCAGGCATTGCATTCAGAGCATTTCCAGAATAAAAGATATGCCATCTGGAAAACATGAACTATCGATCACTGTAAATGAAGGCCTCTTCCTAGATTGAAGATTTGAATAAAGAATATAAAAATTCCGCCCCCCCCCCGGCGCCCCGGCTTTTTTTTTTTTGAGACGGATCCGGTCTTGCTCTGTCACCCAGGCTGGAGTGCAGTGGCGCGATCTTAGCTCACTGCAACCTCCGCCTCCTGGGTTCAAGTGATTCTCCTGCCTCAGCCTCCCGAGTAGCTGGGATTACAGGCACAGGCCACTGCGCCCAGCTAATTTTTTGTATTTTTAGTAGAGATGGGTTTCACCATGTTGGCCAGGCTGGTCTCGAACTTCTGACCTCAGGTGATCCACCCATCTTGGCTTCCCACAGTGCTGGTAAAAATTCCCTTTTAAAGAGCTTTTCTGTCAGTGAAGTTACAGATAATGTAGCCTCAATTGAATACTGAGGTCATTTTTAACACTAAAAATGTCCTTTTTTAATGTTAATTGAACCATATATATTTGTTTTGAACATGGCCCATCATACATATATGCATACACACACATAAAACCTGCACACTTATATATATATGCCAACATATTTCCTTTAGGAATTCTCTCTGCTAGGCTGATGTGTAAATTTGTTTACACTGAAGGTCAGTAGCCTGATGGACAGTCTCCTGAAACCATCCTCATATTGGTCCCCTTGCCTTCTCCCATACAAAGCTAGAGCTCTCTGGTTCACAGACTGGGTCCTGAATGACTCAGAGTTGCTAATCACTTGAGGCAGAATGAAAAGCGCAAGTGATTTTGAGTAGGGAAGACTAAGACTGCATCTACACGCACAACTGGTTTGACCATTCCAGCTTCATCCACCTTAAGGCGGAATACAGAGAGTGAGGGTCAGAATGGCAAGGCCGTCACAGCTGCCACCCAAGAACTCTGACGCCATTGTTAAAATTACCTTCGGGATTAATTCTGATGGGGATGTTACGACTTTCAAAGCATCAGCTTCTTCATCCTGAGGATTAGTCTAAAGAAAGTAAATCCTAGGTTATATATCAGGCAACATGAATTTAGTCAAAATGGCCCAAACAGTTAGATTTTCCTACTGTTGTGTGCCTACTATATGTTTAATATTTAGTAAGTGTAGTAAGGTATAATGATACTTAAATCTACTTCCTCTCTCAAGGATATTACAATCTTATTTGGGAAATAAAACTAACATAAAATAATTCACAATACAAGACAATAGAAAGCTAAATATCAGAAGATCAACTAGGGCTGGCCCAGCCTGGAAAACTTGGTTTGGGAAGACTTAAAGAGAAAATAGGTTTTTTGAGATGGTAGAATGTATATGGTTAAATTGTTGAGGGCAAAGGTAAACTCTTGTGCATTATAATTCTGTCACACATGGTAGATATCAACAAATGTTTGTTGAATGAATGAGTGAATGAGTAGATGATGAAGACCAGGTGAAGGGGCTAATGAGAGGGAGACATTATCGATGTGTAAAACAGTCTGAACAAAAATGGGGAGGTAGGAATGAACATGCTATTTCAGAGAGAAAATAAGCCTAGCTGGCCCAGAGGGTAATGTTGGCAAACAGCAGGAAATTAACTTCAGTAGACTTACTGGGACTAAATTGTGGAGTCCCAGGCTCAGGAGTTTGGAATTCATCCTGTGGGCGATGGAGAAGTATTACAGGCTTTTGAGCAGATGACTCACATGGTGTGTGAGTGATTGTGAGAAGGTTTTTCTGGTGCTGGTCGGTTTGTTAGATGCATAAGAAAGAGGTTGGACTAGGGAGGCCACTTAGAAGGTTATTTCAGCATTTTGAGGGCACCCAAATAAGGGCCTGACCTGGCAGTGGGAATGGCAATGGGAAGAAGGGATTGGTACAATAGGACTGTCTGTGGCAGGATCCATGGGTCATGATGAGTAACAGAGTGTAGGCGACAAAGCTGAGAGCTGAATCCAAAGTACCACCAAGGCTTTGCCCTCGATGGCGAGTATGATGGTAATGAGACTGACTCAAACAGAAAGGTCAGAACAGACCGCAGTGTATACAGAGACAGTGCGACCACGTGGTTTACTTGGAGGTGCTGTGTGATAATTTCGAAAATGGTATGTTTACAGAGAGTTCATGGTACTTAAAGATCAACTATTGAGTATCTCAGCGGACTAAGCATAGGACAGGTATGGTCAAATAAGAATACATATGTTTTCAATTATTCACTCAGCAAGTATTATTACAAACCTTCCACATATATGAACCAATATGTTTGGAAGTAATATGTAAGATGTAAATCTATACAAATCTAAGTTACGATTTAATATAACAGACCCATCAGCTAAGTGTAATAGCAGTTGACTAGTTTGGTAAAATAGGAGCTTAAGAATTGCTGCTTTGAGAGTCTCAGAATTCTACAAATTGTTTTTAAGTACATTTATGCTATATAACAATATGGATTCAAGCTACTTGCACATTCATCCTAATATCCACAAAGTATCAAACACACTAGTTTGAGAATATGCATTCCTACAGCCCTGGATGTCATATGATAAAATAAATCACACTGAATCAAGTTCCTACAAGATAGAAGTCCCTAAGTGTCCAGGAATGTGTATTGCATCAGACAGTGTTTAGCAGCCGGGAAGATCTCAGAACAATTTTTTAAACAAACACTTGCATGTTGCTGCTTCTATGCCAGGTACTGTTCTAAGTCCCATTCAAATCATAACACGTTTCATTCTCATGACAACCCTATGTGACAGGTGGTGTCGTTATCACCCCCATTCTAGAGACAGGTAAGCTAAGGTGGGGAGCTGTGAAGTGACTTGCTCAAGATCTCAGAGCTCGTGAGAGGCAGCCAGCATGTGGATCCAAACTTGTGCTTTAACCACTCAGTTATCTTCCTTCCATCTTTCATCAAATACTGGGGCTTCAAGTTAATCCTCTGGTAATTTCAAAAGTTTTAATCTAAATAAATAACCTTGTTCATGATGTCTGTATGTCTTCCTACTGTTTTGCCTGAAATGACGTGTTCTAGAGGTTGCTTGATCTATGACATCTGCAGGCTAAAAGAAGTCCAGAATCTACCAGGGTGTACAATAGCCTTGTCTTTGAACCTCTGGACTGTCGTGATGTCCTGGCTCTACAGCTCCAGGGAGCGTAACTAGTGGCACTGTGGGAGCTTGTGGGGCTCCATGGCTATTAAGCTGGCTAGTGGAAAGAGAAAAAAATCAGATGATCCTAAATGATAAATTTTCCTTTTTGTCTCTCTGAGGTGAGCCTTTTTCTCAAGAGGAAATGGAAGAAATGTTGTCTGCTGCAATTGATCCAGAATCAAATTCAATTAATTACAAGGACTATATAACAATGATGGTGATAGATGAAAATTAAATGTTCTAAAGATAATTTCTGATTGAAAGAACAATTTTAGAAATTGCTTGTTCTTGTTAATTTCACATCTTATCTTAGGATTCCTATATGTGATATTTAATACCTTGTGACATAACTATTTTAAGACACTTTGTTTTTAAAGATGATCGTAACACTTTAAACCAAATTTAGTATGTCTAGCCTTACAGAATGATAAATTACTATTTATTTAAAAACTATTCTTAAAACATTTTAACATTAGAATGGATTGTTGTTTATTTTCTACAATAAAACTCAGGTCACCTTCGAATTAATTAAGCTGACAAAATGAAAATGACTTAATTACCCAAGGTTTGGCATGTAAAGATCTTAAGAGGGGGCAGAACGAACCACTCGAAAACGAGTAGCAGTGTAATGAAGGCTTCTTTTTTAAACAATAACAAATGCTTCATCAATCTGAGTGTGGAAGGTGATTTATCAAAATAAATATTACTAATTTATTTTTTTATGAGTGCCAATTACAAATATCATTTGGGATAATAATAACTTAGTGTAAACATTTATATTTGCTGATCCAGCATGTCACCATTTATGGAGTAGCTAAAGGAGTTGAGATCATTGGAACTAGAGAAAAGAAGGTTGAGTGGAAGTTGATAGTGTAAGGTAGTGGCAATTCTCCCTTTGTCTTTAGAATTCTCACCCACTCCGCATATCTGTCATGGGAGCATTGTCCTGAATACTGAGTAAGAATACTGAGAAATGTTATGGTGTGCAAATGTACAGCTCCTGAAAGAGCAGAATGAAGCACAAGCAGTCACAATGGAAAAATATATGGCATGGCCACTGCCTCCTCCTTGCAATTCTCTCCGATCTTGGCATCTTATATGGCAACTATATGGCAACTTACAAGCAAAGGGGAAGATAAAGTAAAGGGAAGTGAACAATTTTCCAAACTTAGATATTCTGTTATAACAAGACACACACACACACACACACACACACACACACACGGGTCTCTATTTGAAGATGGCTTCACCACTATATGTGTGTATCTACATAGATGTAAACATTTAGAGTTGCTGTGAGCCTTCCTCAGGCATGTAGTCTTGCCCCCAAAAGAGGCGGCTGCTACCCAAGAGACTGTCGCTGTTCATTCATTCATGAAACACTGAAGGAGTACCATGAGATGATGTGCTGGGAACCGGAGTCCCTAACGAATCCAGGTCACAGTTTAGTGAGGGAAGCCTGCAAGGCAGTCAGCAGCCACATTTCAGATAGGGGCATGTTCAGGGTCCCGTGCAAGTGCCGAAGAGAGGCAGCTACTCAGCCTTGCAGGGAGAGAGCTTTCTGGAAGATGAAAGGTGCTAGTGAGCGGAGAAGGCTTCCCAGGACAGGAAGCTCCTGACTTTAAAACGAGTAGTTTAGTAAGTGGGTGGCGGGGCACAGGGCATTTCAGCAGGTGAGCAGCAAGTCCAGAAACCCTAGAGGTGTCATGAAACATGGAACCACCTGGGAATTGAAAGCAGCTCAGTATATTTGGAATGTGGGAGATTTGGGGGTCATGATGAGAGGTGAAATTGGAGTGGTAAACAGGAGCGGTATCATTAAGGATATCGGGTTAGGTGCTGAGTTAAGGTTTCAGTGTGAGAGTTTGGACTTTATTCTGAAGATCACAGAGAAAGATCATTTGTAAGCAGCATGGAAAATAGATTTGAAAGGTCAAGACTAGAAGTGAGACCAGTTTGTAGGCTATTTGGTTGGTGGGAGGGGATAGACTGGGAAAAGTCAAGCATGAATCCCAGGTTTCTGGCTCGGACGATGGGTAAAAGTGCCATTCATTCAGATAAGAAGTCCAAGGAGCAAGTGGGGCATTTGGTAAGCAAAATGATGAGGTTGGGTGCAGACACCTTGGGACACCCAAAGGGTGACATTCAATAATCAATTGGATATAGGAGGGAGATCTGGCTGGAGACCTGGATTTTGGAACTGTCAGCATGTAAGTAGTATTAATGCCTTGAAAGTAGAAGAGAAGACAGTCTAGAACAAAACCATGGGGGATATCAGCATTTACGGGAAGGCAGAGGAAGAAGAGCCCACAAAAGAGACTGGGAAGGAGAAGCCTGAGAAGAGGGAAAGCTGGAAAGAAGCATCTTGGATGCCAAGATCGGAGAGAATTGCAAGGAGGAGGCAGTGGCCATGCCAGATGTAGTGGAGAGGAGAGGGAAGTTAAAGACGGAAAAAACGTCCATTGGTGTTAGCAATGGAGAGTTCATTGAGGGCCTCTCCCACAGCAGATGTGGGGAAGCAACAGGGTATGGAGTTGAGTGGATGGAGTAAGGAATGGATGTGAGAAGGTTGCAGCCTGGAGGACAAGTTATTCGGCAGTGAAGAGGAGGAAACGGACAACAGGCTCGGGGAGTGATTTTTGGAAGATGGGTGGATGTAGCAAGTTCATTTCTAGTCCAAGGGCTGAGAGCCCACAGAGAAGGTGAAGGGAGGGGCCAGCTTCCAGAGCAATAAAGAGATTTAGGAACAATGAACCAACGCTTGTGGTCCCTACCTCATGGCCTCTGCTGCCTTTTGGAGAGGAAGGTAGTAGGTTATAGAGTTTCAAGAGAATGGTGTAATTTTGGAATATCTCTTGTGGGAAATGGGAGAAAGAGTTGAGAAAGAGCCCATGTAAGGATTTTCAAGAAACCCTGGAAGATTTTGTGCTCAGGAGCAAAAAAGAAAAGAAAAAGGTAGATTGTTGTACCAGGGTTAAGGTTTTGTCATGTGCGTGAGGTGGAAGGAATCAAAGGCCGAGGAATCTGGGAGAAAGCAGTTCCGATGGTGTCCGTGGGGCTAACGCATGAGGGAAAGACCCAGGTAGGAGGAGTGGGTAACAGGTAGGAGGAGTGGGTGACAGATGGGAGGGGGTGAGAGGGCTCGGGGCCCTAAAAGGGCAAGTGGCTGGTGTTGGTAGCAAGGGGTGGTCTTTCCTGCCTGAGTGATAATTCCTGAGTGATAATATGTTTCCCTTGAAATTTCGCTTCGATGTGTTCTTAGAGTGTTTCTTTTCTTCTCCTGTGTTATTATGTGAATAAATAGTAAGAGTGGCTGACGTTTGTTGACTGTTCCCTGCGTTGCAGGCACTGTCCTAAGTGCTTGACGTACATGAACTCATTTCATCCTCACATCCACCCATCGGTGCAGGTGCTATTAAGTTATCCCCATTTTAGAAAGGTGACAATCAAGAAGTTACACAGCAGTAAGTGGCTGTATCAGCTTTTTCTAGGTTATATTGTGATAACAAAACTCCCACGTGTCAGAGGTTTGCAAGAATGAAGCTTATTTCTGTTTACGTTTTTTTTTTTTGGTCAGCTGGGGTCATCCTGGACTCTGGCCTACGTGTCTTTGTCCTACTCATGGCCTAGAGAGGTAGGATGACCGTCTGTCCTGCTTTGCCCGTGGTAGTTCCAGACTATACCTGTCCCAGTGTAATTATTAATAGGTCTCCTTTGTACTCTTAGAAATGTTCCAGTTTAGATGATTAATATGTGGTCATCCCATTCAAAAAATAGTGAGTAAAAACGGTGGTGAGGAATCGTCACTTCTGGAAGGCTTCCTGACAGATAATTCCAGCAGTGGTAAGAATGGAAGGCATTTCTTCCTTCTCTAGTTTCCCAAGATCATTTTTTTCCCCAGGATAACCTGAGATTTTCCCAAGGTAAAATCCAAATAGAGACCTGATGTGCCACTGGCTCGGCCGTGCATGCTAGAATCACCAGCCAGAGATGAGGATGAACCGCGTGCCTTCAGGACAGGGCGGAGACGGAGGAGGAAAGGAGTGTGGTGATCCTCGGAACATCAGCAGACAGGCTGTTGATGATAGGAACACATTGCAGCGGGGAAGGAGGATGGCTGAGATATGAAATACCCTTCAAGGTGGACGCATACCCAGGGGCATGTCATTCGGTGGCAGGGGCCAGCACGGACATGCAGCACTGAGGCGTGTGCTAGCGCCCAGTGCGTCGACCCAGGCACGGACTTGTTTGGAGCATACAGGACAGCTCTGCGTTAAGACCTGTAAGCCATTAAAGAAGTACAGTCTGGTGAATGAACCCTAATCTCTTGATGATCAAGTGATGACATCATATTCTGTCTCCGAGGAGACACCCTCTTGCACAGAAGGCAGTAGAGGAAGCTTGCGTCGAGATTGCCTACCTCCCCAGCCCCACCTTCGAGGGTTCTTTCAAAAGTTCGGACTGATGTTCAACTTCACATCTTGTCTCAAGGCAATCCTCTCTGTTTAGTCTCATAGAGTTGGCTTTGTGGAATGTAATTCATTTTTATCTTTAGCACAAATTTGTCTGTTTCTTTTAAGGCCACCAGAAAGCACAACATAGACTCCCCACAGAAATCTCATTTTATCTCCTAAGTTGCAGAATAAACGTACCTTGTTTGCAAAGGGAACATTTTCCTTTACACTCAAATCACTTCAATGTGTATTTTGCCTCTTCAGCTCACTGACCTCGCCCGCAGCATCTGATGTAAGTCACCATATGCCATTTCCCGACTAGGAGAGTGCTTGGCCTCTTGTGCAGGAAGTTTGCTTACCCTCATGACTCCTGGCTTCCGCAGAGCCTGCCATACCCCACAGCTTGGCCGGGCCCTGTGGAAAGCCATCTCTATTCTCACACTGCTGGGGAAGGTGCATGACTCAGGACCCGACACACAGGCCTGAGAGTCTGGCGATCTTGTGCTCTGATCCCAGCTTCATGTGTGACTCACTCTGGATCAGGCGCTTCACTTCCTGTGCACCTCTGTCTGTAAAATAGAGAGCCCAGCTCTAGTCCTTCTCCCTCCTGAGAAGCAATGCAGAGATTTAGTCCCCTTTGCAGTCACCCAGTGTCTAAGTACCAAATGCCCAAGAGACAAAAAAGAGTCCAAGATAGCAGGCTAGTTGGGATTACGACTGTTCGTTAAGGGCAGGAGTATTTTCTGTGGGATGGAATGTGTTTAGATCTCTCTCTCCTAGTTTCCTGTCTTCCTTCCTTTCGCTTTTCTAAATCCTTCCATGTAAGAAAGTACCCTGTTTATACAGACAGTTCCTTGAAGATCAGTGTCACTACCTTACCCTCCTGGGCTGCTTAAATAAACGGAGAGCCTCATGGGTGCCAGGCATGGTGGCTGCCTCCTAGGCCTGCCTATTTCTGAAAGCATGGTTGCCAATCATCTGCTTCAGGAGCATCTGGAAGGAGGGTGTTAGAAATGGGAGGTGTGCCCCATTCCAGACCCCTGAAACAGAATCTCTGGAGGTAGGGTCCAGGAAACTTATATTTTTAATATTCTCAGGGGATCCTTATGCACGCTTGTGTGTAAAAAGCACTACCTGGGGCTCTGATATTGAATGAAAGTGTGGGATTTGGAGTTAGGCTCTGCTGCTTACTGATTACGTAATTGGCCCAGACATTTAATATTGCTGAGCTTCCCCGGAGGTCGAGGCTACAGTGAGCCATGATTGTACCACTGCACTCAGCCTGGGTGACAGAGAGAGACCTTGTCTCAAAAAAATAAAAAAATATTGCTGAGCTTCTGCATCTTAATTTGTAAAGTGGAAAAAACACTTTTCGGGGCTGGTGTGAAAATTAAATGAAATAATAAAAGTGAAAATGTTTAAAAAGCTGTAAGCTATGACACAAATAATTATTTACAGAAAGCCAGCTAGGCAGAGAGGGAGAGAGAAAAAGAGAGAGGGAGGGGCAGGGATGGAGATCTGCTGCCTGGGTGTGGACAGGGAGGTGGGGAAGTAGGTAAATAATAGAAAACTAATTGGAGAGAACGTGCGCATACCTGGGCTGCTGGTGGGGAGATAGCCGAGGTTTGCTGTCATGGTGCTATTAATTATAAGGCGTTAAGTTTATTTCTAGAATGTGAAAACAGGAGGCCTTAAGAGGTTTCTTTTTTTCTTCTTTTAAAAATGTGCTATCAGTCATGGTACTTTTAGAGCAGCAGGAATTATTTACCTCATCTAGTGGAGAAAACACTCTTAATCATTTGAAGAAACTGTTATTTTTCTTAAAAAAGAAAAATCAGGCCAAGCACAGTGGCTCATGCCTGTAATCCCAGCACTTTGGGAGGCTGAGGTGAGCGGTTCACTTAAGGTCAGGAGTATGAGACCAGCCCAGGCAACATGGTGAAACCCCGTCTCCACAAAAGTACAAAAATTAGCCAGGCGTGGTGGTGCACTTATAATCCCAGCTACTCGGGAGGCTGAGGCAGGAGAATTGCTTGAACCCGGGAGATAGAGGTTGCAGTGAGCCGAGATGGTGCCACTGCACTCCAGCCTGGGCGACAGAGCAAGACTCCATCTCACAAAAAAAAAAAAAAAGAAAGAAAAAGAAAAGAAAAGAAAAATCACAAGTTGAAAAATTGAGGCCAAACCTAGTTCTGTGGAGAAGGAGATAAGATAAAATAGCACACTATGAAAATCGGGCCATGGTTTTATATGTGTGGCAGGTCAAAATGCCAAATATATCTTGCTGGCTCCCCCCACACGCCCCGGCATTAAGTTTTCAGCTATTAGTAAGAAATCTCAAAAGAGGCTTCTAAGCATTTATCACCAAACTTAGGAAATGTACTGAAGTATAGGTGAGTATTGCATGACTTTAAATACAGCTTTTAAACATGTCAAGATGTGTTTCCATGCTCTGAATGCCTAGTTTTAAACTGTCTTGCTGGCTGGTAACCATTCCTGGTTACTAACTCAAGGTATGATCCGCACTTAGGCAAAGCTCACTGTTAATGAGAATAGAGGTAAGTCTATTTTCCAACTAGTCTTGATAATGTTTAAGTTTTCTTAGTTCTTCTTTATCAAATCCGATTAGCCTGTCTTTGTTCTTACACAACATGATGAAGAGCTCATCCTGGTGGAATTGTCGGCCCCACTGTTCTCGGAAAACCCCCCTGTGCTTAGGTGTTGGGATATCTTCAATTCGAGGTTACTTTTTAGGAACTTTTTAAGCCTCTTATCAGTTTTTGAGGACTGGTGTCATTAAAACCAAATAACATCTGCAAATCCTTCACTCAGTTGGCCACCTGTACGGTTAGTGATTGCACGGAAATAAGCAAGGTGGAATGAGTACACGAGCGAAGGCTCCCCGAGCTTCCTTCAGGACAGCCGCCTGCCTTCCTGATACGTGCATTCCTGGTACATGCATTTCTGCTGTATGGACCCCAGGAAGATGTCAATGAGATTTAACTCTAACACAGAACATAAATATAAATTAAAACAAATCCTGGTTTTCTTCCTGCACCCTGAGGAGTTATCTTGCGTTCCCTGCAGGGGCACCTCACTGTGAGATGGCTACGTTAGAGAATCTTCTCAGGAAGGGCTCTTTTGGAAAAACAATGTAAAGTGTAAAATACTCTAAAAATTACTAGAGTGGCTCCCAAGCAATAAAGAGAAATTGGAAAATGCCAGTAAACAAAAAAGAAGAGGAAAACCCCTTAATTCCACAGAAGTTAACCACCATTACTAATGCTTTGCTTCATCTCTTCTGAAAGCTTTTTCCAAGGATGTGTCTCTCTATAGAACTTCTTTAGAATAATATCACTGTGGAACCTATCAGTTAGGGTCCTTGACCATAAGGACAGAAAGCAGGACTCACTGGAAGGCACCTGGGCTGAGGAAAGAGTGCTCACAGAGCCTACTGGAGACTGGGGCACCAGGCTCAGGCCAACAGGAGCCAAGGGGGCATCTGAGGGCAAGGAAGCATGGTGCAAGAGGATAGCAAACATCACACAACCGGAACAGCCCGTGCAGGGCCGCTGCTGCAGGGGATGGCTTTGCACTGGCTCAGGTTCAAGGCCTGCAAGACACAGCCCACTGAGCTGAGCTCCGTCTGGCCTGGGCAGGCAAGGAAGGACCTTGCTTCTAGGCAGCCATGTGGAAGGCAGGAATCCTCCAACCACCAGCTACACCCCGCTGGAGGGAGAAAATACTCTGGTGAGAAATCAGGGTACTATTGGGGAAGAGAAATAAATAAATAATAAACACGACAATACTACAGGATCAGACCATATATGCTATTATGTAATCTGCTATTTTAAATGAATACATAAGGAACAATCTTTCCATGATAGTGTGTACTCACCTAAAACATAACTTTGAGTGACTGGATAGTATCTTATTGTTTGGAGATACCTTAATTAATTAATTAATTTAGAGACAGGTCTCACTGTGTCACCCTGGCTGGAGTGCAGAGGCACGATCATAGCTCACTCCAGCCTCGAACTCCTGGCCTCAAGCAATCCTCCCACCTTGGCCTCCCAAAGAACCGGGATTAGAGCCACCACACCTGGCCTATTTAATTAGTTCCTCATACTTCATAATTTAAATAATTTTCAGTTTTCACTATTATAATAAATTGTGACCAATATCCTAGTAGTTAAATCTTAATTTAATTGTTCACTTAGAATACATTCCGAAAAGCAGAACTGTTGGGTCACCTTTAAAGTGATGGGGACCTATTTTTAAGTCTTTTGCTAATGTGTTTTCAATCTGTCCTGCAGAAAGATTGTTCCCACATTCTAAACCCTCCTCAGCATATTTTTGCTTTTTATTTTGCAATTAGATAGGGAAAAATAGTATCTCATTGATCTTTTAAAAATTTGCATTCCATTGATAAGTGGAGCTTTCTAAAGGCCCACAGCAATGTACTGAAAGATTCAATTGGATTAGCTCCAGGAAGCACCAAATTGGAGCCTCACAGATTGTTTTTTCAGATAGAAACAACAAACCCCTCGGCTGCTATGAAATGGAGCCCACAAAGCACAACATGACAGACAGAATCTGAATTCCAGAGACACAGTTTCTTTCAGAACAAATATTATTTGCAGGAGGCAATTAGAATGAGCCACTATTGCACAGTAGACTTAGCAGGAAATGCACAAATATTCAAGCAACAAAATAGGAACTGGGGAAATAAGCCTGCAAAAGAAGTGAAGAATGTCCAACACAGGCGGGACGAGGGGCCAACTGGCCTCCCGCGCTCACACCAAAATGCCAGCTTCTTAGGCTGTGACAGTGTTTCCTAATGCAATTCATTTGCTCATTCAGTCAGCATTCATTGGATTCTCACCATGTGCCAGACACTGTGCTGGGTACCAGAGATGCCAAAATGAGTATGAAACATAGCCCTTGTCCTTGAGAGATTTCAGCCTCATGGGAGAGACAGGAAGACCAATAATGACACTGAGCAAGAGTTGTTCAGCAATGTTAGCAAAGTGCATTGGGGTCAATGACAGCAGCTGGCTCTGCCTGTGGGACTCACAGAGGACTTCATAGAGGAAGTGGCAGGATGAACTGCAAATGTTTTATGTGTTCACATTGGCAATTCTGCTGCCAATACTGGGGGGTGAGAATGTTCTAGAATGAGATGGCTTGAGGCTAATGCTGAAGTAGCTTTTTAATAGCATGGCTTAGGGAAAAGAGTGCTGAATTCCAGCTGTGTCAGGTATAGGATATGTGACCTGGGGAAAGTCACGTGATGTGTCTGTCCTCTGTTGCCCATCTGTAAGTGACAGAAATCATAGCTACCTTGTAGGCTTACTCTGAGCATGATGGGCTGTCTGCACACAGGGCTTAGTAAGTGGTATCTGTCATTACAAAGTGTTCAGTAAATATCTGCTGAATGAATGAATATAAATATTTTCTCTATATAGTAAATATCTTCAATTATATAACGAGGTTGGGTACAGGTATTTATAGGATGTCCGGGAGTAGGGAAGTCCATTTTCCTAAACTTGTGACCTCAGGGACTTCATGGAAAGGGTGTACATGTCATTTTAACTTCATTCATTCAATAAAATATTTAATTAGTGATATTCTATGCTAGAAACAATTCTAGTAAACTGGTCGGGTGTGGTGGCTCACGCCTGTAATCCTAGCACTTTGGGAGGCCAAGGTGGGTGGATCACTTGAGGTCAGGAGTTCGAGACCAGCTTGGGCAACATGGCAAAACCCCATCTCTAAAAATGCAAAAATTAGCTGGGCATGGTGGCGGGCGCCTGTAGTCCCAGCTACTTGGAAGGCTGAGGCAGGAGAATTGCTTCAACCCAGGAGGCAGAGGCTGCAGTGAGCTGAGATTATGCCACTGTACTCCAGCCTGGGAGACAAAGCAAGATTCCCTCTCAAAAAAAAAAAAAGAAAGAAAGAAAGAAAAGAAACAGCGCTAGCAAACAAAACAAAGTCCCTGTCCTTAAGGAACTTGAATTCTGGCTGTGAGGTTGACAGTAGGAGGCAGATAATACATCAATAAACATATGTCATGTCGGGATTAACACTATGAAGAAAAATGAAGCAGGATAAGGGGTGAGAGTGATGGGGTACTGTCCTATCTAGAATGACATGGAAGTCCCCTCTAAGGAGGGGATCTTGAGCAGTGGCCTGAAGGAAATGAAGGGGCATGGGGAAAGGGCATTCCTTGTAGAGGAACATCAAGCACCACGTGTTTGGCAGCCAGCAGGATCAGCAAGGAGCACCCCAGGCCTTTGTGGCCTGAGTGAAGAGAGAGAAGCAGATGAGGACGGAGAGGTGGGCAGGGCCCCGAGCATGAAGGGCCTTGTGGGCCAGGAAAGGATTTGGAGCTAAATGTGGAGAGAAGAAGAGATGCCATTGAATGGTGCTGAGCCAGTTAGGGGACATTACCAGGGAGATGGTGTCTCAGGCCGGGGAGATAATGGTGGATAGTGAAAGGCGGTTGGATTTGGGATCTATTTGGAAGGTAGAAGCAACAGGATTTCCCAGTGGATGGGATGGAAGTAGAGAAAAAGACACCAAGAATGATCACAAGGTTTAGGTCTCAGCAACGACATACTATTCGTTAAGGTTGAGGGGGAAGATCGAGAGTGTGGTTTGAGACGTGTTCCCACTGAGAAGCCAACCAGACATCCAGGCTGTCTATATAAGTCTGGAGCTCCGGAGAGCCTGGGGTTGGAGTGGTCAGTGCACCGAAGATGTTTAAAACCGTGGGGCTGGATGGGATCCCCTAAAGAGGGAGGGTGAGTAGGGAAGAGAAGGGCTCCGAGGGCTGAACCTGGGGGCAACCCAAAGTTAGAGATAGGGAAGGAGAAAGATCAGCAAAAGATACAAGGCAAACATAGTATCAGGGCAATCCCAGGTCCTATTCCGTCCCCCATCCTGTGTCCCCAGGGCCTCCATCACCCAGTTGTTTCTCTTCAGTGTCCTTCGGAGTCCCTGAGGCAAGCTGGACTCACATAGACTAGAAAATTCTAGTGTATTTTGTGTGCAACCCAGTGGTAGCGCCGCGTTTTTCAGTTGCTTTGAAATCTACGAATATCCCTTCTCATCACAGTCCGAGTGAACTGTCCTGATGCTGTGGTTTCTCAGTGTCTCTGAAATTCTTGTGACCTTCAGTCCTGAGGACCATTCTTCTCTGAGTAGGGAGGCCGGGGGTCAAGGCCGGGCCTGACTGCCATTGTTCTGACTGCAGAACTGAACGGAGTTCGATCCAGCGGAGCCCGTGTGGCGGCTGTCGAAAGTAAGCCCTTCACAAAAATGGTGTGCCTAAAGGTAACTGCAGAGGCACTGGGGTTCTTAATTTTAAACTATCAGAAAAGAATGAACGGGCAACATGTGATCCTCAGGTGTGAAATGCAACCATCACACCCTTGTCCCAGAAACACCGTTTCATTTTTTCTAAATCAAGTGTGACTCCAGTCCCTTACTGGCCAGTCATAATAAGAGGAGGCCTGGGGGTTTATGTGGTGCCTCTGAAACCTAACAATACGGACCAAGAACATGACAACTGTTGAACACCAAAACTGGCTCCGTCACCTACATCATCGCCTGAGCAGCCCTGTCCCCTCCCCAGTCCACTGCTCCGGAAACTGGAATGACCCTTGTGAGGAAACCAGTGAGAAGCTTGAGCAGTTCTCTCAAGGGGGGGCTTTTTCAACAGATTGTTGAAGGGACTATATCGACATGACGTTTGGCAAAAGCCCATAGTGAGACTAGAGGAGAGAAAGCTGAGTGACAGCCAGACCCTAGGACAAGGGAAGTTCTTCCCTCCAGTTTGCCCGCCAGCCAACAGCACAGCCACCAGCCCTGCCCACCCTTCTGATGCTGGGACGCAGCCCCGCCCTGCCCCGACACCAGGCCACAGGCCACAGGCCCTGTCAACAGCCTTCCCATTCCTGGCCCAGAGACCCTACCTGCTCTCTCCAGACAGTTCAGCTGTTTGTTCATGCAAAGCCTTTCTGAAAACAAAGGCCTATTAATTCTGCCCCGTTTGCAAGTGAAGCCCCAGTTCTGTGGGACTCAAAGCACACGCTGATCGCTTGAGGGGGTGGTGAGAAGACGATGTGAGGAAGGATGACTTATTTTTTTCTCTTTTAACAGCAGAAGGAAAAAACAAAAAATAGTAACTCCATAAATCATCCTGCCAGGCAGAGAGGAATCTCCCATTTTTAAGCTACAATACACGTTTTTGTAAAATGTTTTACTATAGAGAGTTAGTAGACAATGGTACAGTGTATCTCCATGTAACATCACCCTCCCCGCCGGCCATCAACTCGAGGCCAATCCTGTCCCCATCTCCAGAGGTCACCTCCCTCATAATTTTGAAGCAAATGTAAGGCATTATTTTATTTTATTCATAATTTTTTTCAGTAGGTATATTTAAAAGATACTTAAAAATAAAGGCTCTTAAAAATTACCTATAATACTATAATCGTCCCTTTAAAATAATGATGGTTTGGCCGGGCACGGTGGCTCACGCCTGTAATCCCAGCACTTTGGGAGGCCGAGGCGGGTGGATCACCTGAGGTCAGGAGTTCGAGACCAGCCTGACCAATATGGTGAAACCCAGTCTCTACTAAAAATACAAAAATTAGCTGGACATAGCGGCATGTGCCTGTGGTCCCAGCTACTCGGGATGCTGAGACAGGAGAATTGCTTGAACCCCGGAGGCGGAGGTTGCAGTGAGCCAAGATCATGCCACTGCACTCCAGCCTGGGTGACAGAGTGAGACTCCATCTCAAAAGTAGTAGTAATAATAATAATAATAATTGTTTAATGTTATCATATATCCAGTGTCGAAAAGATCAGTTTTCCCGTAAATGAATAAATGACCTTAAAAAAATACTATACAGAGGCCTGGCACAGTGGCTTATGCCTGTAATCTCAGCACTTTGAGAGGCTGAGGCTGGTGGATTGCCTCAGCTCAGGAGTTCGAGACCAGCCTGGGCAACATGGTGAAACCCTGTCTCTACCAAAAATACAAAAATTAGCCAGGTGTGGTGGTGCACGCCTGTAGTCCCAGCTACTCAGGGGGCTGAGTCAGGAGGATCACCTGATCCTTGGGAGGTTGAGGCTGCAGTGAACAGTGATCGGTCTACTGCACTCCAGCCTGGGCAATAGAGTGAGACCCTGTCTCAACAAAATAAATAATAATAATAATAATAATAATAAATACTTCACAGTTTGAATTAGGAGTCAAGATTCAAACTGTGAATCTTGTGATTGGCTAACATGGGTTTTTTGTTTGTTTGTTTTTTGAGATGGAATTTTGCTCTGTCACCCAGGCTGGAGTGCAATGGCGCAATCTTGGCTCACTGCAACCTCCGCCTCCCGGGTTCCAGCGATTCTCCTGCCTCAGCCTCCCAAGTTGCTGGGATTACAGGCACCCACCACCACGCCCGACTAACTTTTGTATTTTTAGCAGAGATGGGGTTTCACCATGTTGGCCAGGCTGGTCTCGAACTCCTGACCTCAGGTGATCCACCTGCCTCGGCCTCCCAAAGCGCTGGGATTACAGGCATGAGCCACGGCGCCTGGCCTGGCTAACATGTTTTTAAAGTTTCTTTTAATGTGTAGTTTTTACTCCCAATCTTTCTTTTATCCTTGCAGTTTAATTATTGGAGGAACCAACTTGTTTGTCCTGTAGAATTTCCCACATCCTGGTTTTGCTGGTTGCATCATCATGGTATATATAATTAATGTATTTGTCTGTCTTCTCTACTTGATAAATTGGCAATTGGATCTAGAGCAAATTCAGGTTTGATTTGGCGGGACCAGATTACTTTACAGGTGTTGTATCCTTCTATCAGGAAGTACATGATATCTGATTGTCTCTCTATGACGTCAGTACTATTGTTGATGAACACTAGGTCTATATTAATACATTATGGACTGCAAAATGGTGATAATCTAATTCTATCATTCTTCATTTACTAGTATTTCCTTGATTTATAAGTATTTTCCTTTATCAGTTTTCAATATTTTCAAGGTTTCTCAATATTCCTTAACAGCAACCAAGTAGTTTTTAAAATTATTTTTTAAAATTGATACATAATAGATGTACATGCTTTCAGGGTACATGTGATAATTTAATATATTTATATCAAGTATTTTTTGCTTTTTAGTATTATAATAAAGTCATGAATATTTGGTATATTTCAATCCATTGTCGTCATTATTCTTATTGATGTTCACAGTATCCCATTTTTGAACAGTGGGAGCTGCTTCAGGTTGGATTCTAAAAGCTTCCTGGATATATGGCATAAGACGATTTAGGTTCATCTTGTACCTATTGGTTTCCAATGACGTTATCAATCTTTTGTGACACGAGATCAGGGCCAACAGTGGGTTTTTGCTAATGATGTGTTATTAGGCAATAAGTAGAGGAAGAGTTTGGTTTGTGTTAGAGATTTACAGATCATTTTACTTGCTTTTGCACCGTGCTTCTACACAATAGTGCACAGACACACAACTCACTGGTTAAATGGAGACCACAGAAATCTCTGGGACACTTTATGAGCAGCCTAATATCTCCTGATTCTACAAGCTAGATTGGAGAATGCGTCTGGAGCCTGAGGCCAAACTGTGGTCCTACTAGTTCTCAAATCAAGACAGGATTCACCTGTGGGGAAAACGATGTGTACAGAACCTCTGAATCCATTGTAATAATCAGTGTCATTAGGAACTTTATTTATTTATTTATTTATTTATTTATTTATTTTTGAGATGGAGTCTCATTCTGTCGCCCAGGCTGGAGTGGAATTATGTGATCTCAGCTCACTGCAGCCTCCACCTCCTAGGTTCAAGCGATCCTCCTGCCTCAGCCTCCCAAGTAGTTGGGACTCCAGGCATGCACTAGCACTCCTGGCTAGTTTTTGTATCTTTAGTAGAGACGGGGTTTCGCCATGATGGCCAGGCTGGTCTCAAACTCCTGACCTCAGGTGATCCACCCGCCTTGGCCTCCCAAAGTGCTGGGATTACAGGCGTCAGCCACTGCACCCGGCCACTTTTAAATCCCAGTGGCAGGAGTACTTATAGATTTGCCTTAAATTCCCATTTGTTGGGAGAACAAAAAACATACAAAACAGAGTAGGAGGCAGGTCCAATACAGACTTTCGAAAAGTGATAAAATGTGGTAAAAGCAAAGCTTCACACATCCAATCAGATGTCTTCCTCATAAGGGAAAGAACAAGTAACCAGCTGGAGAGGCCCAGCATTGTTTATTTCAGTCCTCCACCCTGTGAGGCTGACGAGGATGAGAGGTGGTCCTCTATGGTCAGGAGGGGGGACCAGAGAGGCCAAGCATTGTTTATTTCAGTCCTCCACCCTGTGAGGCTGAGGAGGATGAGAGGTGGTCCTCTATGGTCAGGAGGGGGGACCAGAGAGGCCAAGCATTGTTTATTTCAGTCCTCCACCCTGTGAGGCTGACGAGGATGAGAGGTGGTCCTCTATGGTCAGGAGGGAGACCAGAGAGGCCAAGCATTGTTTATTTCAGTCCTCCACCCTGTGAGGCTGACGAGGATCAGAGGTGGTCCTCTATGGTCAGGAGGGAGACCAGAGAGGCCAAGCATTGTTTATTTCAGTCCTCCACCCTGTGAGGCTGAGGAGGATCAGAGGTGGTCCTCTATGGTCAGGAGGGGGGACCAGAGAGGCCAAGCATTGTTTATTTCAGTCCTCCACCCTGTGAGGCTGAGGAGGATCAGAGGTGGTCCTCTATGGTCAGGAGGGAGACCAGAGAGGCCAAGCATTGTTTATTTCAGTCCTCCACCCTGTGAGGCTGAGGAGGATCAGAGGTGGTCCTCTATGGTCAGGAGGGGGGACCAGAGAGGCCAAGCATTGTTTATTTCAGTCCTCCACCCTGTGAGGCTGAGGAGGATCAGAGGTGGTCCTCTATGGTCAGGAGGGAGACCAGAGAGGCCAAGCATTGTTTATTTCAGTCCTCCACCCTGTGAGGCTGAGGAGGATCAGAGGTGGTCCTCTATGGTCAGGAGGGGGGACCAGAGAGGCCAAGCATTGTTTATTTCAGTCCTCCACCCTGTGAGGCTGACGAGGATCAGAGGTGGTCCTCTGTGGTCAGGAGAGGGGACCGGAGGAGGGTGGTCTGGGAAGCACTGCTTGACTCAGAGCTTCCTAGTACCAAGCACTGGATCCACTAAAGAAAAGGTGGGGAGAGGAAGAGTGGCTGCTTGTGGAGTGGGCTATGGCTGGAAACTGGTGAGAAGGTGATGACAAAAGAAGGCCCATTCTCGGTCTAAAATCTGTAAACAAGATCCTAAGAAGGGAGAGTGGGCTTAGGGATAAGACAGAGTAAAAAGAGGCGGGGAAGTTGCAGACGGAATACGCCGAGCCAGCGACAATGACTGGGTGGTTCAAACTTTCTTTCCTGGGACAGTGGAAATAAGAAGAGGTGCTCACTTTGATGGGGATGTGGGGATATAGGAGAAGAGCCTGTGGATGGAGCACAACCAAACTGAGGTTATTGTGCAGCTGGTTTTGCAAGACACTGATCACCAGCATAGGTGATTAAAAAAGGACTTTCTATTAAGAAATGTTAACCCTTAAAGAGTAGGATCAATGGGCCGGGTGTGGTGGCTCAGGCCTGTAATCCCAGCACCTTGGGAGGCCCAGGCGGGCAGATCACCTGAGGTTAGGAGTTTGAGAACAGCCTGACCAACATGGCAAAACCTCGTCTCTACTAAAAATACAAAGAGCAGCCGGGTGTGGTGGCGCATGCCTGTAATCCCAGCTACTCGGGCAGCTGAGGCAGGAGAATCACTTGAACCTGGGAGGCGGAGGTTCCAGTGAGCGGAGATTGCGCCACTGCACTCCAGCCTGGGGGACAGATCGAGACTCTGTCATAAAAAAAAAAAAAAAGAAAAGAAAAAAGAATAGGCTAAATGGACCCCCGTGTATTTATTAGGCATTGCCATTAACATATGGCCAATCTTGCTTCACCTATTCTCCCTCAACAGTTTCCCTCACCTCCATCCTCACCCCTGCTCGTTATTTCAAAACAAATTCTAGACATCACATCATTTCACCTATAAATGCTTTGATGTTATCTTTACCAGAAAAGGTAGAGATAAGGACCTCCTTCCCCTTTTCCCCACACAACCATTAAACCACGATCATATCTTAAAAAGCTAACAATAATTCTGTAATGTCCGATATGCAATACTTTCAAATTTCCGCTCTTGTCTCATAAATATGCTTTTACCATTGGTTTATTCCAATCAGGATCCAAACAAGGTCCTCGTGTTGCATTTGGTTGATGCGTATCTAAATCTTTAACTTTCCCTCCCCTTTTGTTCTTGTCTTTCATTTGTTGAAGAGCCTGGTCTTTGGTCCTGTAGAATTGTCCGCACGTTGGACTTGTCCGATTGCATTTCTGTGGTTGTGTTTAACACGTCCCTCTATTCCCTGTATTTCCCGTAGACCAATTTTTATATCTAGAGGCTCGATCAATGTCAAGTTCAGTTTTGTTTTTGTTTTTTCTTTCCTTGCAAATCAACTTCATTGGAAGTGGTGAATTTTTATTGCCTTCCTTCAGGAGGTAACATAATGTCTGGATTGTCTCTTTTTGTCACTCCTCATACTCAGTAGCTGTCAGCCTGATCTAGGCTGTATGAAGCTCTCCATCAACCTGTCACCTAATGGTTGCCATTAACATTATTTTAGTAGGAGTTGCAAAATGGTGATTTTTTTTTAAAAAGATTCTATCATTCCTTCTTCATTTATGCAGTGGAATTCCTCTATTAAAGATAATTTTCTGAAGACCAGCCTGGGCAACATGGAGAAAGCCCATCTCTACTAAAAATAGAAAAATTAGCCAGGCATGGTGGTGTGTGCCTGTAGTCCCAGCTACTCAGGGGGCTCAGGGCTCAGGGAGTATAACCTGAGCCCAGGACATGGCGGTTGCAGTGAGCCATGATCACACCATTGCGCTTCAGCCTGGGCCACAGAGCAAGACCCCATCTCAAAAAAAAAAAAAAAACAAAAAACAAAAACAAAAACCCAAGATAATATTCTGCCATCAACTATTCGGCTTCTTTGAAATACTGTTTGTTCAGAAAAGGCACAGCAGTTTGCTTCTTTTCTTTAATTTTTCAAGCAAAATATTTCTTGATTTCTCTTGAAAACATGCATTTTTGGCTGGATGCTGTGGCTCACGCCCATAATCCCAACACTTTGGGAGGCCAAGGCAGGAAGTTCACCTGAGGCCAGGAGTTTGAGAGACGCCTGGGCAACAAAGTGAGACCCCATCTCTACAAAAATTTTTAAAAAATTAGCTGGGTATGGTGGCACATGCCTGTAGTCCCAGCTACTGAGGAGGCCGAGGCAGGAGGATCACTTGAGCCCAGGAGTTCGAGGCTGCAGTATTGCACTCCAGCCTGGACAACAGAGCAAGACCCTGTCTCTGGAAAACAAACAGAAATATGCATTTTACTTTCGTAAGTGTGTGTGTGTCATAGGTGGGCCTTAAAATTGCCTGTATCCCTTATGAGACGTATAAGCCTCCCTTTGGCTTGTGTGCTAGCCAAACCACACTTGGTAACATTCTTCTTCCCTTATTAGTTTCTGGTGATTTACAGTGTTTGCATTAGCAGTTACACTGCTCTTTCTGTCACAGTGAATCTCTCTGGGAGGAAGTGAAGTGTTTGGACTTGATTTAATGAAGCTATCACAGACTGATAAAACAGGTTTCAAATATCATAGGGTTATAAGGAAAAAGATGATTTAGAATAATTATTTAGATAAATGATAACAGTACACCATGAATTCCATAATAATTCTGAATATAACTCTTCCCTATGTTAAATAATTAACATTTACAACCATTTAAATATATTTCAATATTTAATATATTTAAATTGTATATTTAAAATAATGTATATTTAAAAATAAGAAAAATGTTCACACAACTCAAACTTGCACCTTGTTATATCTATGTTTCTTCCATTTTAAATTTTGTCATTCATCGATATGAACTGGTTACCAATAAATTTGGATTTGTAAGCTAGGTAGAAAGTTGGGGAAATTTCTGCAGGAATAACCAGGATTAACCAGATAATTTCAAGATTTTCTTGATCTAGGAATTAAGAATTCATATGATATGGTGGCCTGGTGCAGTGGTTCACCCCTGTAATCTCAGCACTTTGGGAGGCTGAGGCTGACGGATCACCTGAGGTGTTTGAGACCAGCCTGGCTGGCCAACATGGCAAAACCCCGTCTCTACTAAAAATACAAAAATTAGCTGGGTGTGGTGGCGGGTGCCTGTAATCCCAGCCACTCGGGAGGCTGAGGCAGGAGAATCGCTGGAACCCGGGAGGCGGAGGTTGCAGTGAGCCAAGATTGCGCCATTGCACTCCAGCCTGGGTGACAAGAGTGAAACTCTGTCTCAACACAAACAAAACAAAAAACAAACAAAAAGGAATTCATATGACATGGGAACTAGAACTATTTCCAAACAGTTGTAATCCGATTCCAAAGAAACCCTGCACTTCTGGTTTCCTGATGATGTCACCCACATAAATGGCTACGTCAAGGAGTCGGTCCTGAGAGCAGCGAGGCAGGAGTGAGGTCGAGTGGGCAGGCGTGAGAGCCGAGCACAGGGGCAGAAAGGAAGACTCTGCACCCAGAAAGCGGAAAGGAGGCAAGTGGGGGACAGGGGTGGGGTCACTGGCCCAGGCACTATGGGACTGCACATCGCACACAACACTAACTTCCCTTAATAAACACTAAGTTAATCTTTACAACTCTTCAGCAAGGCCGTGCACCCCGGGTCCTTCTGTTCTGATCGGAGGACCTCGCCTCTTATTCAGCAGAGAGCGTAGAACCTTTGGCCTCTAACACCGCCAAATCTCCCTTTCACAGACCAACTGGCATCTAAGAGCTCTAGGGGCAGAAGTGCCGCTGTGGGGCACTGATGGGGCAGGGACTGTGGCGCAGGTCACCTCCTGCCTTTGCTGTCTGACGCAGCCTCCCAGGGCTGCTTGCATTTGGCAGGGGCTCCTCCTCCACGCTGCCCTCTCCTGGTTCTCAGTCCTGCTCGGTTTCCAGGCAATCACAGCCCCCTGTGCACCACTCCAGGCACCGGGCTCCTAAAGCAGCCCCTTTTTCAGAGCTACCCTTTAGTTGGTGACACTCTCCACTACCAACCCCAGCCCAGCCCAGATTCCCTCCAAGCACAGTTGTGCTGGGCACAATAGTCATCATCTCTAAGCTTACCTGTGATTTCATCCATCCTCACCTCGTCACCGCTCTCAGAAGCTCCGCGTCCTCCTGGAGGCTAACTCCTCCTCTGCTGTTGTTCCCACTCCGGGCTACCTCCTCACTGCCCTTCCTCCACCAGAGATTCCCTCCATGCTCTCCCCTTGACTTTGTCACCATCCCTGTGCTTATCGCTTTCAGACCACAGTCTTAGTCAAGTCCACCCCGTCTTTTCAAAGAACACCTTCCTTTCCTTTAGACGTCTCTCCCCGTCACCCACCCGTCACCCAGTCTCTCTTTCCCTCCCTCCACCGCCAAGCATTCTGAAGAAATGTTCCCCTCACCCTGAGCTTGCTGCCCCTCCCTTCCATTTCCCAGCCTCCTGCAGTCTCACTCTGTCTCCAGTACTTACTGAGACTGCTGAGGTCCTCAGCGACATGCCCATTGCCAATCCCAGCAGCCTGTGTCCAGTTCTTCACGTTTTTTGAATTCACTGCAACATTGAATGCTTGCCAGTGATGCCTCCTTGCTGAAATTCTTCCTTGGATGAAAAGACACATTGTTTCCGGGTTATCCCTTTTCTCTTTGACTATTGCTTCTATGTCTTACTGAGGCCTCTTTCTATTTCCACCCTTAACCATTAGTGTTCCCAGGATTCTAGCCTCAGCTCAACTTCTTTCATCTCTCCCAGTAGCCTCATTCATCCCCGTGACCCCAGCTACACTTGCAAGGACTCCCAGATCCAAACCTTTGATCCAGCCTTTCACTGAGACATTCTCCAGCTGAATGTTGTGCTGGTCTCTCATATGCAGCAGAGTCTATTCCTCCTCCTCTCAGCTCTCTTTTCTGTCCAACCTAGACCACAGGCATCAGTCTCTAGGACTTGCCTCAGCGTCTCTGGGGTCCCTCCTTCCACTCTACTCCTATAATACGAGATGATTCCAGCCCTCATCCCCTCCTTCCTTGACAGTTGCCATAGCCTCCTAACTCTGCCTCTAGGCTCAGCCCCATCCGATCCATTATTCCTCTGCTTTTAGAAGTATTTTTCTAAATAGATATGGCCATGGCTTGTACCTCAGTATGGGTTTTGTCAAAAGCAGAACCTGAAACGAGGATTCTGGTGTAGTTGTTGTATTTGGGAGGAAACAATAGTATGTGAGTAGGGAAGGAAGACAGGAAAGGGAAGCAGGCCAGTAAAGGGTGTGTTGTCGAGCCAGTTACCTCTGCACGTAACTGGAGCTGAATCTTGCTGGGCAACTCTAGGAGTCTCGTAGAATACATGCCTCAGAGATATCCTGCCTGAGGGGCGAGAGAGCTCGGTTATTTATACTCCGACTCTCATCAGGCAATGAGAGGTGTCAATTCTGTAGCAGTTCATTCCCCTCCTGCATGTACTTGGAGGCAGGGGGCTCATGAACCCCTTAGGCAGTAGAAGTCAAGCCAGCTATTGCAATGGAAAGGCTCAAAGGGCTAGAGAGGGGCACAGATGGAAGGACAGGGACAATCTCTGTCTCATTACCCTCCTGCTTAATAATCCCCAGAGGTCCCCACTGCCCACAGCTGGCCTTTCTGGCCTCCTCCCCTGCACTGCTTCCCTCCATTCACACAAGGGTTCTGAGGTCTTTCCTGAAGAAGACAAGCACCCTCATGCCGGTACGCCTGGGTGTGCATCGCTCTTTCCTCCACATCACCCTTCGCTTTTAGGTTAACTGATAATACTGGCCGCACGTACTGGGCACCTGCTACCTGCAGAGTCATTTATGTATGTTAGTTGATTTAATGTAACCCCTATAATAGCATATGAGTTGACTAGCTAAAAAGAATGATCACTTCCATTCTACAGGTAAGGAAATCACAGCTCGGAGAGGTTATCTCAATGCCTCTGGCACAAAGCTAGCAAGTGGCAGGGCCATGTTGGGAGACCCGGCTCTCTGCTACAAAGCCTGTGCGAGGCACTAACCACTGGGCTGAACTACCTCAGACTTCCTGCCTCAGCTCGGCGGTGGCCTGTCCTTGCTCCTTCTCACCTAAATAGATGTGCTATCAGCTCTGTCTTCCCATAGCCTATGGTACTTTTTTTATGTGGATGTCTTTATTAAGCGTGTGTTATCTTGTAGTGTAAGTATTTATCATCTGACTTCCCTTTTAAACCATAAGTCCCTCCCATTTTAATCTTCAATGCTTGGCCAATTGCGTAACTGGAGTAAAGACTTCGTTAACTTTTAAAAGAGCATTAAGTTGAATTCTGCTGGGCACAGTGGCTCACGCTTGTAATCCCAGCACTTTGGGAGGCGGAGGCAGGCGGATCACTTGAGGTCAGGAGTTCGAGACCAGCCTGGCCAACATGGTGAAACCTCATCTCTATTAAAAATACAAAAAATCAGTCGAGCATGGTGATGCACGCCTGTAGTCCCAGCTACTCAGAGAGCTGAGGCAGGAGAATCACTTGAACCCAGGAGGTGGAGGTTGCTGTGAGCCGAGATTGCACCACTGCATTCTAACCTGGGCGACAGAATGAGGTTCCTTCTCAAAAAACAAAACAAAACAAAACAAAACAAAACAAAGAATTAAGTTGAATGAATGTTGACTTTGTTTCAATACCATGCACACAAATACTGAAGAATGAGACTTCTTAAATAAGACAGGACCTAGTTTTGACTTTTCTGGGCATATTCTGCTGGGCAGGAAAGAAATAAGAACATTAACTCTAATGGACCACAGACAGATGGCCTGCCAGCCAGACAGCGCCCCGCTGAGGGCCAGAGCAGGGCCTTTGCCCAAATCAAGGAGGAGCCTATTGTTTCTTCCAGTTTGTGTATGGAAGGCAAAAACATACAAACAAAAATTCTTTGAAAGCTCTTCAGGCTCTGCAATTTGGGACATGTTTATAGGGCATGTGTAAGTCACAGTGGTCAGTGGCTCTGTGGCCACAGAAGGCATTAAGAGGAAATGTTAGTGGCCTCCTCACCCTTTGTTCCTTAAAGGGCTTCTGCATTGACACCAACAGCCAGAAGGGTTTGCTAGCTTTTAGTGTGGTTATAGTGTGGACTTAGACACTATAAAATGGGAGGAAAGAAAGCTCCTTTTTGGGAAGAAACTTCTACCTATGTCAGCTATGGTATACCAGCTCACAGAGTGCTAAGAAAAAATAAATTTTTTAATTAAAAAAAAACTACATGTGCATGTTTATGAAAACCTGGTTTCACAATCAGAATACTGAACCTGCTAATAAATTTATACCAGAAAAGCATGCATGCTTTGCTGTTAAAAATTAACTTTATAATTTACTTTTTGGCAATAGGGGATAATGAGAAAGAGCAGCAAAGATATCTTTAAAAGGCAGCAGGGAGTCAGACCTCCTCCTCCTTTCTTCACCCAGGTCTGCACTCGTGGGCACTGAGTCGAGACCACCAAATGCATGTGGGTGGGTCTGATACCCGGTGACCTGCAGGGACAGCAGCACTCCCAGCCTCTGCCCACCTGCTGACCGCAGGGCAAAGTGTCTAGTTGTAAAAGGAAAGTATGGCTCCTTCTCCCCTCAACCTGGCCGAATCTTCCAAAGTCATTTGCAGAATATTGACTGCACAGAGCGAAGAACACTTTGTTTACAATGCAGTTGGTGCAAAATGAATAGACTAATGAAGGTGACGTGAATGTCTTTGACTCATATTTATAGATTTTGGCTTCTTTGTTTCCTCTTGAACGTATTCGCAGTGCCTCCTTTCTTTGTCTGTCTTCTCTTCACTTTCATCAAAGGCAGCCTGTTCCTTCTGACCTTGAAATTTCTTTTGTAAACATCATGCCTGTTGGCACCTGAACCCACCTAAAGTTTAAGGGGTCCAGGGGTAAGGGGACTTTTAGAAAACCCTGCTGTCCTATGGCCAACATCAGATAACTGGGGTGGGACATAGTAGCTCATGTCTGTAATCCCAGCATTTTGGGAGGCTGAGGCAGGAGGATGACTTGAGCCCAAGAGTTCAAGACCAGCCTGGGAAATGTAGTGAGACTCCGTGTCTATACAAATAAAAAAAAATTAGCTGGGTGTGGCACGCACCTGTAGTACCAGCTACTCTGCAGGCTGAGGCCAGAGGATTGCTTGAGCCTAGGAAGTTGAGGCTGCAGTGGGAAGTGTTTGCGCCACTGCACTCCAGCCTGGGTGACAGAGCAAGATCCTGTCTCAGGAAAAAAGATAATCTGGAAGACGTTATTATTTGTTTTTGTTTGTTTGTTTGTTTTTTAGACAGAGTTTCGCTCTTGTTGCCCAGGCTGGCGTGCAATGGCACAATTTCCGCTCACTGCAACCTCCGCCTCCCGGGTTCAAGCGATGCTCCTGCCTCAGCCTCTCAAGTAGCTGGGATTACAGGCGCACGCCACCACACCCGGCTAATTTTGTATTTTTACTAGAGATGGGGTTTCTCCATGTTGGTCAGGCTGGTCTTGAACTGCCGACCTCAGGCGATCTGCCTGCCTCGGCCTCCCAAAGTGCTGGGATTACAGGTGTGAGCTACTGCACCCGGCCTTATTTGTTTTTATGGATGATCCTTATTCCTTTACTTATTTCATTTAAAGTTACCTTTAAGATTATTGGAGCTTAAAAAAGAAATATGCAGCTGAGTGAGAAAAGGTTATTGAAAATTTTACTATATATGTGTGTTCATATGCTTAGAGACATTGTGAAAGCAGGTAACTTTTAAACTTCTTTATACTTTTACTTAACTGTGGTGGAATATACATAACATCAAGTTTACCATTTTAACCACTTCCATGCATATAGTCCAGGGGGATTAAATAAATTCACATTGTCGTGCAGCCATCACCCTGATCCTTCTCTAGAACTTTCTTATTCCAAATGGAAATTCCATACTCCTCAAACAGTAACTCCCGTTCTTCCTTCATGTTACCTTTTTTTTTTTTTTTGAGATGGAGTCTCTCTCTGTCACCCAGGCTGGAGTGCAGTGGCACGGTCTTGGCTCACTGCAGCCTCCGCCTCCTGAGTTCAAGCAGTTCTCCTGCCTCAGCCTCCCAAGTAGCTGGGATTACAGGTGTCTGCCACCACGCCCAGCTAATTTTTTAATTTTGGTAGAGACAGTGGTTTCACCATGTTGGCCAGGTTGGTCTCGAACTCCTGACCTCAAGTGATCCACCTGCCTCGGCCTCCCAAAGTGTTGGGATTACAGGCGTGAGCCACTGCACCTGGCCCCTGATACTATTTTGAGTGTGATTCTTACAGTAGTATCTTATATTTTAAAAAACAGGATACACCTTACCTTGGTCCTTAAAGAATATGTTTGCTTATTCTGCTGTGGTTCCAAGATTATTTTTCCTATAAAGTTTCCCCCCTAAGAGCTTATCACCGTGTCTTACAGGCGAGTCAGCCAAGTAAGACATGATGAAAATGCCAGTGTTATGAGGTTCCCAGGCGCTCCTTCATAAAGATCCTGAGAAAAGCTTTTAAGAATGTATCTAAGAGTTGCTTTCAGGGATCTTAACTCAATTAGTGGAGGTTGCTGACCACAGGCCATGTCTAGAGCACAGACTATATCGTCACGTTACTCTGTTGTCTTCTCATTGTTCAATTCAGCAGCATTTTAGAAGGCCCGCTGTGTGCTCTGCACTGTGCTAAGTACTGCGAGAAACAGAAAAGTTGAAGACGTGGTTATTGTCTGAAATGGCAGCTCCTGGGAAAAAGTGCCGTAGAAAGAGGAGCTGGCTATAGAAAATATGGTAATTTCTAACCTAAAATTAATATGCCACTTATGATCATACAATACGAACATTAACGTGTTCAAATATGAGAACAGGAACGAATGCTGGAAATATATTAAAGTAATAACAAACAATAATAATATTAACACCTAACAGTCACTAAGCATCTGTCATGTGCCAAACGCCACACTCGACACTTTACGCGCTTTATCTCATTTAATCCCACCAAGAACAAGAAGCTTACGGTGATGGCTCTTGTCCCCAGTTTAGTTAGAAAAGCTGACACACACAGAGATTAAGGGCATGGTACTAGCAAGTGATGACGTGGGGCTCCCAACTCAGACCTGCCCGACTCCACGGTCCAAGGCTGGTGTTTGTCATTGTTGGGACAACCATTGGTACACTGTGATGTCCAGTCTGGAAATAAAAGAGAGTGGATTTTGTTCTGTTACATTTTATTTTTCACAGAAGTGAAAAGGAAAAGGAAGCAATTCATTTTAAAAGCATCCAAAAGCAGGATGTTGTTTCTGTCACGCCATTGCTTGGGATCTGCTACCAACTCCCTTACTGGTAGCTTAGGCCTCACTGGTTGGGATTCTTTTTTTTAAAAATTGTCTGCCTGGGCCGGGTGTGGTGGCTCACACCTGTAATCCCAGCACTTTGGGAGGCCGAGGCAGGCGGGTCACAAGTTCAGGAGTTCAAGAGCAGCCTGGCCGATATGGTGAAACCCTGTTTCTGCTAAAAATACAAAAAAATTAGCCAGGTGTGGTGGCAGGTGCCTGTAATCCCAGCTGCTTGGGAGGCTGAGGCAGAAGAATTGCTTGAAACCCGGAGGCAGAGGTTGCAGTGAGCTGAGGTCACGCCACTGCACTCCAGCCTGGGCGACAGAGTGAGACTCCATCTAAAAAAAAAAAAAAAATTGTCTTCCTAAGATGTCCCTAGATTCCTTCATGTACAACATCCATGGGGACACCACCATGCAAAGCCAAGTGGTTGGCCAGCAGCCGGTTCCTGCCAGTCTTCCTGTCAGGCTGAGGACTCGTTCAAGAGGAAATTCACCGATGCGTGAACAGCCTGCCTGTTCGTTTGGTGAAATAGGGCAGATTTTTTATTTCATAAAAGTGTAGTAAAGGGAGAGGCTATTAATCAAGGATTTAAATTATGATCATTATTATTTATTATTTTTGAGACAGAGTCTTGCTCTGTTGCCCAAGCTGGAGGGCACAGTGATCTTGGCTCGGTGCAACCTCTGCCTTCTGGGTTTAAGCGATTCTCTTGCCTCAGCCTCCCGAGTAGCTGGGACTAGAGGCACATGCCACCATGCCCAACTAATTTTTGTATTTTTAGTAGAGATGGGGTTCTGCCATGTTGGTCAGGATGGTCTCGATCTCGTGACCTTGTGATCCACCCGCCTCAGCCTCCCAAAGTGCTGGGATTACAGGCGTGAGCCACCGTCCCCAGCTGAGATTTAAATTATTTATTTTATTATTTATTCATTTATTTATTTTGAGACAGGGTCTCGCTCTGTCATCCAGGCTGGAGTGCAGTGGCACGATCTCGGCTCATGCAGCCTCGACCTCCCCAGTTCAAGCAGTTCTCCTGCCTCAGCCTCCCAAGTAGCTAAGACTATAGGCACGCCACTTCACCTGGCTAATTTTTGTATTTTTTGTAGAGATGGGGTTTCACCATGTTGCCCAGACTGATCTCAAACTCCTGAGTTCAAGCAATCTGCCTGCCTCAGCCTCCCAAAGTGTTGGGATTACAGGCGTGAGCCACCCTGCCTGGCTTTAAGTTACTTATTTAAAAAAATTATTGCCCACTCTTTAGCAATGGGGAGGGAATAGTGTTTCTTCCTGGATCTTCAGGAGTGGCTGTCCCTTCTGGGAAGGTGCACTTTTTAGTTGAGAAGTGAAGTTCAGGGAACCTGGTGACAGTGGGTTAATAGTTTCTCAACTTACCTCTTTTTGCCAACTCTGACATGTAGGACTCATTCATTCTTTCAGTCACTGTCATTCATTTATTTATTCATCAGTAAGTGCCTTCCTTGAGCATGGCACACCAAACTATGTAGCAGGGCTCAAAGAACCATCGTGCACAGTGCCTGCCCTCATAGGGCTGGCTGTCTAGTGAGGGAGGTGGGCGTGTGAACAGGCAAATCACACACCAGTGGCCAACACCAGGGCAGAATGATGGACAAAGCACTGCTGATGGGCAAAGAGCACAGAAAACAAAATGACCACCTGGGCCTGGTGCCGTGGCTCGGCAGGAGGATTCTTTGAGGCCAGGAGTTTGAGACCAGCTTGGGCAACAGAGTGAGATCCTATCTCTTTTTTTTTTTTTTTTTGAGACAGGGTCTCACTCTGTCGCCTAGGCTGGAGTGCAGTGGCGTGATCTCAGGTCACTGTAGCCTCTGCCTCCCGGGTTCAAGCAATTCTCTTGCCTCAGCCTCCTGAGTAGCTGGGATTACAGGTACCATCGCCATGCCTGGCTAGTGTTTTTGTATTTTTAGTAGAGACGGGGCTTTACCATGTTGGCCAGGCTGGTCTCGAACTCCTGGCCTCAAGTGATCCGCCTGCCTCAGTCTCTCAAAGTGCTAGGATTATAGACATGAGCCACTGTGCCTGGCCTAAAGATCCTATCTGTACCAGGAAAAAAAAAAGAAAGAAAATTAGCCAGGTGTGGTTACTCACACCTATATCCCAATTACTTGGGAGGCGGAAGTGAAGGCTGCTTGGGAGGATCGCTTGAGGCCAAGAGTTAGAGGCTGCAGCGAGCCTTGACTGAGTCACTGCACTCCAGCCTGGGCAATGGAGTGAGACCTTGCCTCTTAAAAACAAAACAAAACAAAACAAAAAAAACTTTGGCTTGAGGAGTCTAGAAATTAGGAGGTGACATCTGAGCTGTGTCTTAAAGGACAAATAGGAAGTTTCGGGTGGAGCTGGCATCTGCAAGAGCACAAAGCCCCAAGAGCTAGCTAGTGTCCACCTCGTCAAACAGAGGTGGCGTCAGAACAAGAAACTCTCCAGGGCAAGAGGAAAGTGCCTAGATTTCTTGTTTGTATTTTATACCATATAGATAAAATTGTTATTTGTTTTTTGTAAGGCTTTCAGTCACCTTGAGTATCTGGCTAAAACCTATTTTTTATCTTAAACTATAGACACAAAGATTAATGTTGTCAAAGTAGCATAAAAGCTGGTCTTGTAGAAATATTTTATCAACTAAATACACGGAAGAGCTGTATAATAAAATCCTGTCTCCTTAGCTTTTTCTTGTGTGCTGTGTAGTACAAAATATTTTGTTTTTATCTTCCTTCTGTGGTTAATACTTATAAAGCCAGCAACGATTTTATCTGACATTCAGAAATATCAATGTAAAAGCCTGTAAGCCCTGCAAAGAAAATTGTTTTTCTTCATTCTTTTCACCAATACTGGGAAGCTCCCAAAGATATCCAAGGTTAAGCAATTTGCATTCAGATTGTTGTTATTAAGTCTGGTTTCCTTCTCTTTTTTGTGAGACAGAGTCTTGCTCTGTTGCCAGGCTGGAGGGCAGTGGTACAATCTCTGCTCACTGCAACCTCTGCTTCCCGGGTTCCAGTGATTCTCCTGCCTCAGCCTCCTGAGTAGCTGGGATGACAGGCACTCACCACCACACCCGGCTAATTTCTTTGTATTTTAGTAGAGACAGGGTTTCACCATGTTGGCCAGGCTGGTCTCGAACTCCTGACCTCAAGTGATCCACCTGCCTCAGCCTCCCAAAGTGCTAGGATTACAGGCATGAGCCACCGTGCCCGGCCTGGTTTCCTTCTTTTGATAAATGATAACAGAGAAAATAAAGCACATCCACTTATTTTTATTTTAATTTTATTTTATTTATTTATTTTTGAGATGAAGTTTCCCTCTTGTTGCCCAGGCTGGACTGCAGTGGTGCAATCTTGACTCAGTGCAACTTCGCCTCCCAGGTTCAAGCGATTCTCTTTCCTCAGCCTCCCAAGGAGCTGGGATTACAGGCGTGCACCACCATGCCCAGCTAATTCTGTATTTTTAGTAGAGATGAAGTTTCACCATGTTGGTCAGGCTGGTCTCTAACTCCTGACCTCACACATCCACTTAGTTTTAAATATGCTTCAGGGCAGGCACGGTGGCTCATGTCTATAATCCCAGCACTTTGGGAGGCCAAGGCAAGCGGATCGCTTGAGGCCAGGAGTTCAAGACCAGCCTGGCCAACGTGGCAAAACCTCATCTCTACTAAAAATACACAAATTAGCTGAGTGTGGTGGTGTGCACCTGTAGTCCCAGCTGCTTGGGAGGCTGAGGCATGAGACTTGCTTGAACCCAGAGGTGGAGGTTGCAGTGAGCCAAGATTGTGCCACTGCACTCCAGCCTGGGTGACAGAGTGAGACTCTGTCTCCAATAAATAAATAAATACGCTTAAAATGGGAAATGATGACTTCCAGGCTGTGGGATGTTTACTTAAGCAAAAACCTCTATTACGCTACCTGAGAATTCCATTACTCAAGTTTGAATAATTACAAAACTACGTGATGGGCCTGCCCTGTCTGACTTCCTGCACACTTAGACCGAGAACTGAAAGACCCTAGTGTCAAAAATATTTAAGATCTGCCATGAGAAATAGATGAGGGAGAATTAGAGCAAACCCTGGCCCTAGGGTGCATTTTGAGATTGAAATCGCAGCCTAGTCTCTTCCATTACACCATCAGTAAATCTTGAAGGACAGAAGAGTAGCCAAGAACAACACAGGGACAGGTGCGCTGGGCTTGGCTGGGGAGGGAGCCAGGTGAGGTTGTGGCTTCCTGAAGGCCCTCGAAGTTTGCCCCTGCAGCTTTCTTCGGAGAACTGGGAGAACACCATGTGTCACCTTGTGGAGCATTTTAAAAACGAGTGAGAAACCTTTATCGGGAAGATACTACGTGCTGTAAAACAATGACAGTAAGCCGGGCGCAGTGGCTCACGCCTGTAATCCCAGCACTTTGGGAGGCTGAGGCAGGCAGACTGCCTAAGGTCGGGAGTACGAGATCAGCCTGACCAACAGGGAGAAACCCCGTCTCTACTAAAAATACAAAATTAGCCTGGCGTGGTGGTGCATGCCTGTAATCCCAGCTACTCAGGAGGCTGAGGCAGGAGAATCGCTTGAGCCCCAGGAGGCGGAGGTTGTGGTAAGCCAAGATCGCACCACTGCACTCCAGCCTGGGCAACAAGAGCAAAACGCCATCTCAAAAAAAGAAAAGAAAAGAAAAGAAAAGAAAAGAAAAGAAAAGAAAAAAATAATGATAACAACAGTTGATGAAATGCTTTGATTTCCAGAAGACATTATATAAGGAGAGAACTTTACTTGCATGGGACAGCTGATGAGCTCCTCAGCTAGGGAGAGGGGAGGGATTGACTCATTCTTGATGATGGGGCAGGGCCAAGGCTGTAGGGAATTGGGCATTGTCTGGTTGCTGGTGGTATGAGATGCTGGCGGAGCCCAACCCATGCCTCTGGCTGTTATGCGAGGGTGGGAAAATTCCAGTTTGCTAGAACCATTAATAACACAAGTGGAAATCATGGGTAAGTTTACAGTTTATTCAAGCAAGTACTTCTAATTAAACAGAAAAAAAGAGTGTGAACTCTTGACCAAGGCATATTCATGATTTTCAGTAAAATAATTTCTCACTTCTAGTGGTCAAAATAATAATGAAGTGCGAATATGAAGTGAAATGCAACATTAAGGGTTGGTTAACCCCAAATTCTTTCATCAAAGAGCAATATACAAGAAATTGGAGAGTTTTTTTTTTTTTCATACTAAAAGTAACCATTAAGGGTAAAGAACTGAGCCTGGCACAGTGGCTCATGCCTGTAATCTCAGCATTTTGGGAGGCCGAGGCAGGAGGCCAGGAGTTGGAGACCAGTCTCGGCAACAAAGCGAGGCCCTGTCTCTACAAAAAAAATTTAAAAGTAACTGGGCATGGTGATGCATGCCTGTAGTCCCAGCTACATGGGAGGCTAAGGCAGGAGGCTGAAGTGAGCCATGATCACGCCACTGTGCTCCAGCCTGGGCAACAGAGCAAGACCCTGTCTAAAAAAAAAAAGGAGGCTGGGCACGGTGGCTCACGCCTGTAATCCCAACACTTTGGGAGGCCGAGGCATGCGGATCACAAGGTCAGGAGATCAAGACCATCCTGGCTAACATGGTGAAGCCCCGTCTCTACTAAAAATAGAACGAATTAGCCACACGTGGTGGCAGGTGCCTGTAGTCCCAGCTACTCGGGAGGCTGAGGCAGGAGAATGGCGTGAACCCAGGAGGTGGAGCTTGCAGTGAGCCTAGATCATGCAACTGCACTCCAGCCTGGGCAACAGAGCGAGACCCCGTCTCAAAAAAAAATAAAAAATAAGTAAATAAGTAAATAAATAAAAGAGCAAGGAACTGAACCCAGTGGATAATGCTGGGGCATCAGATAGAGGCTGTTGGCCATTTAGTTAAAATAAGATGGATGACCATAATCTGAAAGATGTAAAAAAAGAAACTGACCTAATTTATTTTTTTGAATGAATAAAATATATGTGGTACAAAATTCAAAAGGTATGAAGGCTCATAGAGTAAAAACTAATTTTTTTTTATAAATGTGTCCCAAAACCACTCGGATCCCTCTCCCCTGAGTGCACCGATTCCAGGGAATCCTTGTGTGAACAGGCAGGTAGCATCCTTATGCGCCCTTCACGCATCTCTACACATCACACTTTTCTCACTAAGCAACAGGTCCCATACGCTCAGTTCCTAATTGTATAAATACCCACCTCATCGATCTCAATGTCTGTGTAGTATTCTATTGCGTGAATGTGCCATATTTTATTTAACCAGTTCCCTTCTCAAGAATATGGAAGCAGTTTTCCATCTTTCAGAAACTCTGATTTATTTGTTTATTATTTGTATTTTTTTCCTGACAAAAATGCTGTTCAGAACAGAAATTCGAGTTTAAATTGCAGTGGCTGTTCTGGTTCATGTAGAACTAGACTTCAGCCTTTTCCTCATTTTCTTTTGCCTGGTAGACTTTTGCTTATCCTTTTATTTTCAGCATTTTTCAAACATTTTATTTTGGGTGTGTCTCTTGTATACCCAAGCAGTGATTGCAACATTTTCAGCAATTGCTATAATTTCCATTTTAGATACAGAGACACCTGTCACTTCGCACCTTAAATGAAGAGCTTCTGAGCTAATTTCTTCAATGGGAAGGCACCTCGGGGGTGATACATGAATAACGTGGAATAATGCAATTTGGGCAGATTACCAGTTAAAAGCAATGTTAGGTTTGGCCCACTTTGCCTTGCAGGCCGCTAAAGCCTCAAACAATATGACACCTGGCCTTTTACAAAGACCGGACAGTGGAGGTGTTGACAGGAATGGTGTTAAGCCAGGTTCATCTGGGTTTGTCAAGCATAGACTTCTACTTTTAAAATATTTAGGGCAAATACAGTTCAAAATTAATTTGGTCAACTACATTTTTCTTAAGTTTCTTTAGTTTTGAAACCTTTGTATATTTTTATTAATTATGAAACTCATACAAATGTTATGTAGGCAGAATTTTCAGGAAGTTTTATGCCCCTTTTTATAAACCTGTAACAAAGAAATAAGTGATATAATAGGGAAATACGGAGGTGTATTTGCAGTCTTTGTATTTTACAAAATTATCATTTGACCATAGATGTGATCGTTGCTGTTCCAAGTAACAGAAAGCTCAACCCATAAAAGGAATTAACTGGCTTATATGTAACGGAAGAGTCCAAAAGCAGACATAGCTTCAGATGCAGCTTGATCCAGGGCTCAGATGCCATGATCAGAATCCAATTCTTGCATCTGTTTCTTTGGGTTGGCTTCATTTTCAGGCAGCCCCCTTCCTCATATCCTCAAGATGGCAGAGACAGCCCATGGTCTTTCCCTTGCAGAGACAGATCACCAGGAAACAATACCTCTATCCCTAGCCATGAAACAGTCTTGAACTTTATTCTGACTTGATCAGCCAAGTCCCTGTTGGAACCATCACTGCCTAGCTTAGGCCTGAGACAGTGCTGCACCTCTACTACCAAAGGCCGGGCTGGCCTTCCCTAAAGTGTATGTGCTGCGTGGGGGAGAGGTACGGATCTGAACCAAAACGAGGGCTGTCCAGCGTCAGCAAATATCTCCCGCAGTCCCAGTGCCTCCAGCAGGAGGCAAAGCATCAACCCCTCCGTCTGGCTCCTCTACTGAAAATTCCCTCAGCAGCCTCACAGGCCTTAGGCTTGTCTTAGCTACTTCTTCATCTACTTTTTTGCTTTCTTAATTATTTTTCTTTTCTTTTTTCTTATTTTATTTTATTTTATTTTAGATGGAGTTTCGCTCCGTCGCCCAGGCTGAAGTGCAGTGGCGTGATCTTGGCTCGTTGCAACCTCCACCTCCCGGGTTCAAGAGATTCTCCTGCCTCAGCCTCCTGAGCAGCTGGGATGACAGGCACACACCACCACGCCTGGCTAATTTCTGTATTTTTAGTAGAGACGGGGTTTCACCATGGTCTGGTGACCTCCTGGTCTCGAACTCCTGACCTCAAGTGATCCTCCCGCCTCAGCCTCCCAAAGTTCTGGGATTACAGGCATGAGCCACCGCACCCGGCTGCTTCCTTAACTCTTGATCTCCTCTCTGTATCTTGCTTTGTCTAGCTGTTCTCTTCTCTCCATATTCATCCAAACATTTGCTTAGAAGTACCCAGAAGCATGGCGTTGAATGTGGTACACCTTGAACGAAGGGTGAAGAAACGAGGCAGAGTGACTTAGTAGCAAGTGACAGCACACAGTTTAAATTTTAATATTAGCCCATTTACAAACAACAGCTTATATAATAGTCATTCACATACCTCAACACTCACCATCCCCTCCCCACTTTTTTTCTGGAGACAGGGTTTCACTGTCACCCCAGCTGGAATGCAGGTGGCATGATCACAGCTCACTGTAGCATCGACCTCCTGGACTCAAGGGGTCCTCGCGCCTCAGCCTCCTGAGTAGCTGGGACCACAGGTGCATGCCACCACGCCCAGCTAATGTTTTTTTTTATTTTTTGTAGAGACAGGGTCTGGCTATGTTGCTTAGGCTGGTCTCAAACTCCTGGGTTCAAGCGATCCTGCCACCTCAGCCTCCCAAAGTGTTAGGATTACAGATGTGAGCCACTGTGCCCAGCCAACATTCACCCCATTCAAGTGTGCAATTCAATGGATTCTAGTATCTTCACAGTGCTGTGCAACTATCACTCCTATCTACTTACAAAGCATTTCCATCATCTTAAAAAGAATCCCCATGTCCAATAGCAGTTCCCCTTCCCCCACCGTCATCCTCGGGCAACCGCTAATCTTCCTGTGTGTCTGTGGATTTGCCTCTTCAGGGCATTTCACATAAACACAATCATACAATATGTGGCCTTCTGTGTCTGGCTTCTTTCATTTAGTGTAAGGCTTTTGAGGTTCATCCATGTTGTAATGTATATCCTTAGTTCATTCTTTTTTGTTAAGCTCACAAATAAAAAGCCTCACTTTTTATTTGAGGCAAGGAGACTGGCTACAGGGATTACAGTTCCAGCAGTCAAAACGCAACTCCAAGTGGCACTATTTGGACCGTAGGTTTTGCTTCATTTTGGCTGGAAAAGGGTATTCAGGATGTACTTCTCCCAGCCGGACAAGAAAAAGGGCAAAGAAAACTGGAAGAGACGTCTCGTCTACACAAACTGCTCTTTGGACACAGCATCAACCTGACCACACCCGTGCTGGCCAGTCTGCAGGTTGCTGACCCGCCGTTAAGGGACACAGGCCATACTACACTTGCTAGAAAAACTGAGGCAGGAAAAAGAGGTGCAAGGCACTGGGGGAAGAGCAGGTACCTATAGCTTTAAAGCTCAGTGTTGAAGGGGTAATCCTTGCAGGAGGCACAGCTCACCAAGA